>NW_025791769.1:300000-469342 GCF_000001405.40 Homo sapiens
AGTTATCCCATATTTTCTTAAATAGGACACTAAAAGTGTAAAGTATAAGATTTAAAAATTAATAAATTGAATTTATCAAAATTTTGAAAGCGTGCTCTTCAGAGGTTACTGGTAAGAAAATAAAAGCTGGAAGATGGTGGATAGGAGGCAGGGCTAACATGCATCTTTCACTTGGATGGATAGAACAGTTTGTGGAGAGTCACACTGTGAACTTTTATTTCAAGAATCACCACAGGAATGCACCAGGAAAACCAAAAGAATAAACGAAGCCTTTGAAACAAGCAGCAGCACACCACTGCAAACTCCATGAGACAGGCAAAAAACTGTGAGTCCCCAAAGTGTGAGGGGGGAGCCCTGCCTCTGAACACACTTCCTCACTAGGGAATCTGCAAATCTAGATCAGAGGAGAAGGATTTAACCTTACTTAAAGCTTGAAAAGATTTAGGGAGCCATGCAAAATTTAAAAGTAGAAGCAGCAGCAGGAAGAGCTTTGTAGGCATTCCCAGTCTCCAGCTCAAGCCCAGGGAAGCCGTCCCTGACTATATCTGACTGTATCTCACAGAGGCCCTCAGGGAAGGCAGCCGGTAGAATTAGGGAGGGGCCCAGATGAAAGAAGCTTCCAAGTGAATTTTGTGATAATTTCTAGTGGGCATGAACTTCCTTGAGCAGAATCTTGGGGGTGAACAGGGACTGCTGCAGATCCAAGTGCAGGAGCCACAGCCATTATGAGCAGATGGGGAGGAGTGTGTCACGAAAGCCGCGCTTGCTTTCTCGATGGGGAAGCTTATAGCCTGGGGCAGGTCTGATTTCTGCTTGCAGGCTGCCTGGATTCCAACTCAGCACTGTTAGTGGGGCACTGTGGGAGTGAGACTGGCCTCGACAACTGCATGGGAGTTGAGTGAGGCCTATCATTACCTGCTATCCCTCACTTCCCTGGTGACCCATATGACACAGCAGAGGCAGCCATACTTCCCTCTGGAACATAACACCGTTGGCCTGAGAACCACCCCCATGCTCCACAGTGGCCACAGCAAGCCCTGCCCAAGGAGAGTATGAGCTCAGACCCACCTAACCCTGTCCCCACCCGATGGCTTTTCTCTATCCACCCTAGTAGCTGAACAAAAAACTATAGCTCTTGGGAGCTTTATGGCCCTGCCGAGTGCCTGAGAAGCCAGAATACCTCCCCTGGCCAACTTAGGGCAAGCTTAAATCCCACTGCTAATACCACAACTGGTGCTGCCTTGAAAGAACCACCTCCTGGCTGGAGGCCAAACAACTCAGGCCATTATAGCAACTCATGACAGAATGATCCTGCTCTCAGGAAAGAGAAAACAATAGTTAATTCCACCACCTGCAGCATTCTAGTTAACTAGAGGTCCTGAGTTTGTCCACATGCCAACTTCACTGCTAGCATAACCAGCATTTGAGAAAGCCAGCACACTAAACCTCTCTACAACCAAAGAATCTCATCACTCCTCTGATGCCTCCTCCAGAGCAGGTGCTGGTATCCACAGCTGGGAGAGCTGAAAAATGATCACATCACTGAACTCTTTGTGGACATTCATCAGCAGCAGTCTGGAGCCCCATAGCCCCACTGGGTGACTAGTCTCAGAAAAGCAATAATAATCACTGCAGTCCAACTCTCAGGGAGCCCCATCTCTAGAGGAAGGGGGAGAGCACCACATCAAGGGATCACCCCATGGGACAAAAGAATCTGAACAGCAGGCCTTGAATTCCACATCCTTCCACTGGTGGGTAGTTTCTCACAGAAGAGATACAATTGCAGTGCTGGGCACAGTAGGGAAAGTCTGCACCTCTACACCAACAGGCAGGCTGCCTCTGTGATTGTGAAGGGCCTTGGAGAAGGGGTCCTTCTTCCCTACTGCCACTCCACCACAAATGCAGCTGGGGCTTCCCCCACAAGAATGCAGTGTGGAGGCACCTGTAGGCAGCATTTCTGGAACAATCCAGGCTGAGTGGAGCCCCACAGGAGGAGCACCCCCCCAGATTCAGGCCTATACAAGCGGCAGTGTCACAATTCCTTCCTACTTGGAACTCAACATTCCTATAGATTAAAAGAGGTGCCTGTCTCATCTGAAGAGCTGCAACACTAGGACAGGAGTGAGGCTTTGAGGTGAAGAGCTTTCCTGCTGACCTGGCAAGAGAGCTGAGGTAGCTCCCACTCTTCACCAAGGTAAAACCTCAGCTCGTCTAATTGAGAGTGCCCCCAGTTACTCATCAAGGCTTGGACCTTGGCCCACCACTGGGTATTATATCTTCCCACCTGCCTTAGCCACACCTGGAGCCTAACCAGGCTTACCTCTCCTATTGACCTGAAGCCTGAATCATCAAATCAGTAAATAAAACACTGGGAAAAATTAAATAAACAAATAAATTGTACACCACTAGGGAACGAGATAAGTTTCAAGAGATCCCTGCCATTTCAACTTGAGAGGAGACGTCGAACTCACCCACACACCAAGAATATAACTACTACAACCAACATTGGGGAAAACCAGCACACAAAGACTCTCTATAACTAAGGAACTCATACAGAGTCTTTACCCCTACAAGCACCAAGAATCAAATTAGACTATAATAAACATTGAAGTCTGATTCTTAAGAGGAAAACACAAAAAAGAAAAGAAAATTAAATCTACAAAACACAGTCCAATCAAAAAAGAATTCAAGAACAATTTGAATAAATTGTCTACAGAAATGAGAAGGAACCAGAAAAGTAGTTCTGGTAACATGAAAAACATAGTTCTATAACACCCCCAAAAGATCACACTAGCTCTCTAGCAATGGATTTAAACCAGGAAGAAACCTCTGAATTGCCATATAAAGAATTCAGAAGGTTAAATATTAAGCTACTCAACGAGATATCAGAGAAAGGTGAAAACCAACTTAAAGAAATTAAAAAAAATACAGGATACGGATGCATAATATTGAAGAAAAATAGATATCATTAGAAAAACAATCACAACTTCTGGAAATGAAAGAAACATTTAGGGAAATACAAAATGCAATGGAAAATTTCAACAATAGGCTAGAACAAGTCGAAGAAAGAGCTTCAGAGCTCAGAGACAAGCCTTTCAAATTAACCCAATTAGACAGAGACAAACAAAAAAGAATAATAAAAAAGTAAACAAAGCTCTCAAGAAAGCTGGGATTATGTTAAATGACCAAACGTAAGAATAATTGGTGTTCCTGAGGAAGAAGAGACATCTAAAACTTTAGAAAACTTATTTGAGGGAATAATTGAGGACGACTTCCCTGGCCTTTGTCTTTTTCAGGCAAACAAATGCTGAGAGAATTCTCCACTACCAAGCTTAGTTTTTCAGACAAATGATGCTGAGATAATAGTGGGGGACTTCAATACACCACTGACAGCACTAGTCAGGTCATCAAGACAGAAAGTCAACAAAACTACTATTAACACTTTTATGCACACAAACTAAAAAAATGGAGAGATGGATAAATTCTTGGAAACATACAACCCTCCTATATTAAATCAGGAAGAAATAGAAACTCTGAACAGACCAATAACAATTAGCAAGATTGAGACAGTAATAAAAAAATCGCCAACAACAAAAAAAATCCAGGACCAGATGGATTCACAGCTGCATTCTAGTAGATATTCAAAGAATTGGTACCAATCCTACTGAAACAATTCCAAAAGATAGAGAAAGACAGAATCCTTCGAAATCATTCTGTGAAGCCAGTATCACATTAATACCAAAATCAGAAAAGGATATAACAAAAAGAGAAAACTATAGACCAACATCCCTGATGAACATAGATGCAAAAATCAAATAAATACTAGCTAACCAAATCCAACAGCATATCAAAATATCAAAAAGATAATCCACCATGAACAAATGGCTTTCATACAAAGGATGCACGGATGGTTTAACATACGCAAGTTGATGCATGTGATACACCACATAAGCAGAATTAAAAACAAAAACCACGTGATCATCTCAACAGACACAGAAAAAGCATTTGACAAAATCCAGCATCCCTATATGATTAAAACCCTCAGCAAAATTGGCATAGAAGGGACATAGCTTAAGGTAGTAAAAGACATATATTACAAGCCCACAGCCAACATTATACTGAATGGGAAAAAGTTGAAAGCATTCCACCTGAGAAGTAGAACAAGACAAGGATGCCCACTTTCATTACTTCTATTCAACGTAGTCCTGGAAATTCTAGCCAGAGCAATCAGGCAGAAGAAAGAAATGAAGGGCATCCAAGTCAATAAAGAGGAAGTCAAACTGTCGCTGTTCATTGATGATATGATTGTATACCTAGAAAACCCTAAAGACTCATCTGAAAAGCTTCTAGATCTGATAAATGAATTCAATAATGTTTCAGAACACAAAGTCAATGTACAAAAATCAGTAGCACTGCTACATACCAACAATGACCAGGCTGAGAATCAAATCAAGAACTTAACCCCCTTTACAATTGCTGCAAAAAACAAAACAAACAAACAAACAAAAACTTAGGAATATACCTAACCAAGGAGATAAAAGACATCTACAAGGAAAACTACAAAAAGCTGCTGAAAGCAATCATAGATGACGTGAACAAATGGAAACACATCCCATGCTCATGGATTGATAGAATCAATATTGTGAAAATGACCATACTGCCAAAATAAATCTACAAATTCAATGCAATTCCCATCAAAATACTATCATCATTCTTTGCAGAACTAAAAAAAAAATTCTAAAATTTATATGGAACCCCCCCACCAAAAAAAAGCCTGCATAGCCAAAGCAAGACTAAGCAAAAAGAGCAAATTGGGAGGCATCACATTACCTGACTTCAAACTATACTACGAGACTATCCTTACCTAAACAGCATGGTTCTGGTATAAAAATAAGCATGCAGACCAATGGAACAGAATAGAGAACCCAGAAATAAAGCCAAAGATTTATACCCAACTGATCATTGACAAAGCATTCAAAAACATGAAGTAGGGAAAGAACACCTACTCATTATCAAGGAAATACAAATTAAAACCACAATTCAGTATACCACCTAACTCCTGCAAGAATGGCCATAATTTAAAAAATCAAAAAATAATAATTGTTGGCATCGATGTGGTGAAAAGAGAACACCTTTACACTGCTGGTGGGAATGTAAACTAGTACAACCACTGTAGAAAACAGTATGGAGATTCCTTAAAGGACTGAAAGTACTTCTACCATTCGACTCAGCAATCTCACTGCTGGTTATCTACCCAAAGGAAAAGAAGTCATTATATGAAAAAGACACTTGCACACACAAGTTTATAGCAGCACAATTCACAAGTGATAAAATATGGAACCAACCTAAATGCCCATCAACTAACAAGTGAATAAAGAAAATGTTGTATATGTACATCATGCAATACTATAAAAGGAACAAAATAATGGCTTTTGTAGCAACTTCGATGAAGTTAGAGACCACTTTCTAAGCTAAGTAACTCAGGAGTGGAAAACCAAATATCGTATGTTCCCACTTATAAGTGGGAGTTAAGCTATGAGGATGCAAAGGCATAAGAATGGTATAATGGACTTTGAGGACTCGAGGGGAAGGATGGGAGGGTAGAGATAAAATATTACACATTGGGTACAGTGTGTACTGCTCGGGTCATGGGTGCACCGAAAACTCAGAAATCACCACTAAAGAACTTATTCATGTAACCAAAAACCACCTGTTTCCCCAAAACCTACTGAAATAAAAAAATAAAATAATATCTAAGTTGCAGATTTGGGAGAAAATATTTGCATAATATATATCTAACAAAGGACTTTTATCCAGAATAAAGAATTGTTACAACTGTAAAATGAGAAGACAAGGAACATAATTTGTTTAAATGGGCAAATGATTTCAACTGGCACTTTACCAAAGAAGACACATAGATGGCATACAAAAAAAAGCTGAACATTATGAGTTATTAGTGAAATGCAAATTGAACCGAAATGGGATACAACTACACTTTGACTAGAATGGCCAAAATTTAAAAATATGATGAAACAAAATGATAATTCCAAATGTTAACATGAAGTGGAGAAATTAGAACTCTCAAATACTACTGGTTTGAATATATAAAGTGGTACAACGATTTTGGAAAACAGTTTGGCACTTTCTTAAAAAGTTGAACATTCTTTTACCATACAATCCAGCTATTCCATTCCTAAGTAAATATTTTTCCAAGAGCTATGAAAACATACATTCATAGAAAAGTTGCACTTAAATAATTATGGCAGCACTATTTTTATCAGCCAAAAATTGAAGTCCACTGAATGTCTATCAATGGCTTAATGTAAACAAATTGTGGTAAATCCATAAAATGGAACAGTATTTGGCAACAAGATTATTGATTGATGGATAAAGTTGAAAGTAATTATACTAAGTCCAAGAAGCCAGACAAAAAAGTACAATTATATGATTCCATTGTATAAAATTCTAGACAATGCAAACTAATCTACAGTGACAGAAAGCAATTCAATGTTTTCCTGGTGAAAGAGAGATAAATATTTTACCAAATGGCATGAGAAGACTTTCTGGGTTAATGGAAATCTTTTTCATCTTAATTGTGGCATGGTTACAGGGTCTATACATATTACAACATTTGTCCAATTTTGTACAGTAAATATATACAGTTTATCATACATATTTATCCCTTAATAAAATTGTAAATGCCTTTATAAAACAAACAAAAGAAGGAAGGAAGGGAGACAAATTTTTGGCAGGGGGCTAGACAGAATTCTCAGTGAGAAAGGCATATAAGAAAGATATTGAGGAATTGGTGGAAAGAGAATTCAAGAAAAAGCAATGATATATTAAAAAGGGCTTTGAATCAATAGCATTGTGTCGACCTTTTTTTAAATCCTGGGTTCATTCGGATTAGCTTTATGGAAGAGGTAATCTGAGAAGAGGCTTAAGCTGTGGTTTTAGAGTATGAGCTGCAATATGACACATGATGCTGTGCAGAGTACAAGAAAAAAGAATATTAAATCACAGGCTTAAAAGTGTCACCTTGTCACATTCTCTACCTCCAAGCAAGGTTTATTTCAGAGGCATTTGGAGAAGACAGTGTTCCACAGCCCATTTCTCTAAAATGTGTTCATAATATCAGGAACTATCCAGCCATCTATCCAGGAGCTTTGGATTGATCTTTGATTCCTATCTCTTCTCACCCCTGTGGCAGCCATGGAAGAGACCCTTCCAGATCTTCCCTCAAGAGAAGTCTGCGGCAAGGAGTGCAGTTAGCTGACAGCCTACACCTGTAGCACCTTTTCATCCATCACAACATTTGAGCTGAGGTCATTCTCTTTCCTGTAGCACCTACTCAATGAATGAGCCTCACCATTTTTGTCCAATGAAGGATTCCTTGCCTGACATTCCTTGGATCAGAGCTCTCCAATAAGTTGGTCAAATCTCAGAGCTTCACCAAAATCTGAGGCTCTTCCTATCTAATCAACCTTCCTTTCTCCTCTCCTTTCACAGATATCAGACCTACCTCATGGTCTAAAGACTTTTCCTACCCCTTTCTGTTCCCTCTGTTTTGTCTTTCATAGACATTACCGCTAATGAATCTGTTGCACTTCTAACTCTGTCTTATCCATCCACTTTCTAGAGGACTTGAACTGACATGCACATTCTTCATTCCTTCATTCCAAGTTCTATTGAGTCTATCCTCAAACTCTTTCTTGAAGTTGTTTCCTCTTCCCCAATTTCACTGCCACTGCCTTAGGTGAGGCTGTTCTAGTTTCATTGTTCAAGAGCTTGACATAAAAAAAGGTCAGACATGGAACTTGAATTCCAGTGCTAGTTTTACCCTAGGGAACAGAGTGGTTGCCTGTGTGGCCTGAATATCTGAAAAAGATGGCTACATACCCTTAAGAACAGAATCCACTCTGATAAATAACTGGCATCTAATATTCCATGCTCAAAGTTTACCTTATTTCTTTTCCTCCTGAAATGAGAAAAGGTTAATCACAGTCTCTGTTCTTCTTTATAAAGATTCAGAGAGACTGGTGAAAATCTCATTGGAAAGAGCTGTGAGCTCCGTAGAAGCTCTGATAAATTTCTACTATGGATAAAAATGCTGACCTGTGACTATTCCCACATGTGCCTTTCAATTTGATTCCAAATAAGAGCTGACTGCTTTCCTCTGATGTTTAAAGCCTTCTAATCTTGTCTCTCAATACCCTCTCTCATCCGACATATGTTCCAGCCAAATGAAACTGCTTGCTTATCCCAAAGCACAGTTTGTGCTGTTTCACTTCAGTAATTTGACGCATTCTCTTTTCTCTGTCTGGAATCCCCTTGCCTCTTACTTCCAAAGCTGCTTGTACAAATTCTACTAATCATTTAAAGCCTGTGTGAAATATGATATCTCCAAAGAATCCTCAGTTACTCTCTCTCTCTGCCACCATCTCACAGTAATTTTTCTAGTGTATTTTTCATGGTACTCAATGCTTTCCACCATGTCTTGTGTTTATCAGATACCTGTCTCATACTACCTACTAGGTGATAAGCTCCTTGCCCATCTCTCACCCCTACCCTTCCTGGGCCTGTACCTGAAGGCTGCTCAATACCTCGATTCTAATGGGTACATTGTTTTCACAAGTGGTGACGGGTTCCCTTGTGTTCCATGCATTCTCATAGGGTTTCTCATTGAGATCATAGGTCAGCCTGGCAAGGCTGCTGGTGGGGCTCTAGGCAGCTTTGCCAGGAAACTGAGTATTTTCCTGAGCACAGCCTATTGTGAGTCTTTCATTGTTAGCACAGTTCTCTGGTGAAACTGGATAAAAGCATAAATAAGTAGAAGTTCTTCAAGGCTTCTCATGAGGAGATGGATGGCCATCATTACTAAAGCAGACTACCTTGCCTCCAGTGTCTGAGCAGTTTCAGAACGAGTTGCTGCACCCGGGGAAGAACATTGATATTAGTAATTTCTATGCCACTCCTAAGATCCACTCCATTCTGTGTCCCCTCATTCTGATTCTCAGTTACCCTAAGGGCTCTCGGGCACCCACCTCTTCCTCTTGAAAGTCACATTTGAAATGTGGACAGAGTCCTCAGACATTTCTCTAAGAGCCTTGCAGTGGTCCCAGCCTTGCCAAGGGGTTCTCTGCTCTGTGTACCCAATACCAACTTTGGTGAACATGTCCCCAGGTCTGTAAACATTCAGCAATGAACACATACTGTAGTATATCATGTGTCAAGAACAGAGCTGTGCATACAGAAATAAATAATACCGAGATCCTGCCCTCATTCAGTAAGCCCAAGTGGTCTTTATTTTTAGGAGACAAATTATTTTCAGGTTCAAACATTTATGACCTCCTTGGAGGTCAATTCTCACTTTAAAGTTGAATTCAAAAGCAGTTTTTTTTGGTTGTTTTATTTTATTTTTTGAGATGGAGTCTTACTCTGCCATCCAGGCTGGAGTCCAGTGACGCAGTCTCGACTCACTGGAGCCTCAACTTCAGGCAATCCTCCCATCGCAGCCTCCTGAGTAGCTGGGACTACACATGCCTGGCTAGTTTTTGTATTTTTAGTAGAGTTGGAGTTTCGCCATGTTGCCCAGGCTGCTTTCCAACTCCTGGGCTCAAGTGATCTGCCTGCCTCAGCCTCCCAAAGTGCTGGGATTACAGGTGTGAGCCACCATGCCTGGCCCCCAAAAGCAGTTTTTGCTGAGGCAAAACAAACTTCCTTGATTCAGATAATCAACTCTGTCCACCATATCCATCAATTACTCTCACCCATCATCAGACAAGCATTTCACAAAAGCTGTGGTATAGATCATCAGCTTAACTCAGTGTGTAATCAGATAGATGAGTCAACACACACATAAGGAGGAAAGTCGTTCTCTCACACGGTCTTCCATGCAATGTAGAAATTCTTTAGCTTTCTCAGGTAATAAAGACTGCTGAGAACAGAAAGTTCTGGAGGGCAGTTCACAGATCCCCCAGGCTGATCATCACTTGGATAGCAATTTTCTCAGGTGCAGATAATTAGCTCTAGCTGAAAAGGCAAAAGTGTGTCCCCCAGCAAGCAGGAACAAACCTAGTATTTGTCTTAATTTGCAAAAGGTTTCTAATAGTGACATTTTTAATTGCCAGACCAAATATCTAGCAGCTGCCACCAGCCCAGGTCCTGAGGCTGGAATGCAGCCTGACTATTAATTTCCTGAAAGCCTAGCAAAACAAAGTTGTGTGCCAGATTCTCCAGAAAAGTCTCCTCTTTCAGTAACAAATCTTCCTCGGGCTTCCAAACCTCTTCCCAAGGTCTCAGTGAAGATAAAGGAAACATAAAAGCATCACCGTGGATCCTATCACAGCACTGTTGAAAGACCTATCACTGCCTGCCACTAGAGAGCCAAAGTTTCATCTTGTCAAGAGTTCAAATGCCCTGGGATTTTCCATTCTTCTTATCTGTCATTGTGAAGACATGCACCCATTCATTAGTAAGTTACTTCTTACTTTTAAAGAGTTAAAAAACTTAGAGCCTTTTGGCTCTGCAGAATGAGTCTGAGCCCTGAGATCAGTCAAGAGACCTGCTTGTTGGGCTTTATTGTAATATTAACTCGTTGTTTTTCCTGGAGAAAGTTATTCTCTTTGAAACAGTGCATTCACCTAACACTCAGGGATAATAACATCCACCCTGCCTATTGAAGCTCTGTGACACTCAAATGTTATAATACATCAGAATAAATTTGATAAAAGTAAAAAATCAATTGGGTGAGGTGACTCATGCCTGTAATCTGGGCACTTTAGGAGGCTGGAGTTGGGGGATTGCTGGACGCCAGAAGTTTGAGACCAGCCTGGGCAACAGAGCAGGACCCTCTCTGTACAAAAAAATAAAAAAAATTAGCTGGGTGTGGTGGCATCTATAGTCCCAGCTACTTGGGAGGCTGGGGCAGGAGGATTGCTTGAACCCAGGAGGCCTAGGCTGTGGTGAGCTGTGATCACACCTCTGCACTCAGCCTGAGTGGCAGAGTGACACTCTGTTTCAAAAATAAAAGAAAGAAAAAAAATCACTGTATAAGCCAGGAGTGGTGGTTCACTTTAATCCCAGCACTTTGGGAGGTGGGTGGATCACCTGAGGTCAGGAGCTCAAGACGAGGATGGCCAATATGGTGAAACCCTGTCTCCATCAAAAATACAAAAAATTAGCCAGGCATGGTGGCACACACTTGTAATCCCAGCTATCTGGGAGGCTGAAGCCGGAGAATTGCTTGAACCCATGAGGCAAATGTTGCAGTGAGCCGAGATCGTACTCCAGACTGGGTGACAGAGCAAGACTCTGTCAAAAAAAAAAAAAAAAAAAACACGGTATAAATGTCAAAATAGAGCTGATGGTTAATCTGCTTAATGTGGTATGTTGTTTATGTAGACCAAAAGACACAAACGTTTATTATAGCTTTGTTAAATAGCAAAAGAAAAAAATTATGTTGGGTTAAGAATCAGCAAGCCTGGACAGGTGCAGTGGCTCATACCTGTAATCCTAGAACTTTGGAAAGCCAACGCTGGCAGATTGCTTGAGCTCAGGAGTTCGAGACCAGCCTGGACAACATGGTCAAACCTCATCTGTACAAAAATACAAAAATTAGCCAGACATGGTGGTGTGCACCGGTAGTCCCAGCTACTTTGGAGGCTGAGGTAGTAGTATTGCTTGAGCCCAGGGGGTCAAGACTGCAGTAAGCCAAGATTGTGCCACTGTACTCCACCCTGGGTGACAGAGCAAGACCTTGTCTCAAAAAAAAAAAAAATCAGTGAGCTTGTAGATTGGACCATATTTGAGTTTTAGCACACTGGCGGGTACACAAAAGACAGTAAGTTTTTGTTGAATAAAATCCTGTGATGGGATGCCATTTGGTTATCAGCTCAAATTCTGTCTCTGCTTTAGCCTCTGAAAGGCATCTTGGGATAGAGAAAAGTGCTTACACCCCCCTGCAAGGCATTGCTAACAGGGAACTTTACTGTCAAGAAGCCATGCACCTGGACATTAAAGCTCAGTGAAAGAAACCAAGAAGTCCAGGCATGTTTAAGGAGTTTATTTGGGTGTATTAGTCCATTCTCACACTGTTATAAAGATGCTACCTGAGACTGTGTAATTTATGAAGAAAAGAGGTTTAATTGACTCACAGTTCTAAATGGCTGGGAGGATCTCAGCATACTAACAATCATGGCAGAAGTGAAGGGGAAACAAGACACACCTTCACATGGCAGCAGGAGAGAGAGAGTGCGAAGTGGGAAATGCCACACTTTTGAACCGTCAGATCTCATGAGAACTCACTCACTATCACAAGAACAGCAAGGGGAAATCTGCCCCCACCAGGCCCCTCCCCTGACACATGGGGATTATAATTTGACATGAGATTTGGGTGGGGACACCCACCTTCTTAAAGGTGTTGGGGAAATATAATTAAAAACAAAATCGCCTCTCAATCCAGATAACAATTCCACAGAAATAGAAGAGAAAGAAAACACTTTTTATTATTGAACAAGCATTCAACCAGAATGTGATGGACATCGCAGGCAGTTTGCTAAAGGACTGCAAAGACGGAAAGAAAGCTCATCCCCCTATATAGTCAAGCACACACAACCCATTACATACACATGGTCAAGATAAACTATCATTATTTCTCAAGTAAGAAAACTTGACAGGACCTTTTGTCACACATGGTTCATTCTAACTTTACCATGGTCATTGAGAAGACCACCTGCGTTGTCTAATTGGCTTTATCTGAAGAAGAAACCACACTTCCTATATCTTTATGACAAGAGGTAGTTTTGCAGATTGTAAGAAAGTCTCCACTGAAATTAGGCTCTTACCCTCCCACAGGAACTGGGAGATAGGGGAGCTAACTCCCTCTATGCCACCTTGAGGTTACAGAAAGAATAGGGGCTCAGAGCATGGAAAAAAACTCATTATGGTGGTAAACCAGTTTATGGTGGCAAGATAGGTGTTTTGTTTTGTTTTGTTTGAGACAGGGTCTCACTCTGTTGCCCAGGCTGGAGTGCAGTGGTGCAATCTCAGCTCACCACAACCTCTGGCCTGTGGGCTCAAGTGACCCTCCCATCTCAGCCTCCTGAGTAGCTGGGACCACAGGTACATGCCACCACACCTGGCTAATTTTTCTATTTTTAGTATAGATGGGGTCTTGCCATGTTGCTCAGGCTGGAAGATAGGTGTTTGGTTTTTTTATTTTTATTTTTTAAATTTCAACTTGCAACATAGTTTGTGGGAGGAAGAGAAAAGGAGGCCTGACTAACAAAGGTGGTCTTATTATACAGATTAATCCTCAAAGGTAGCAGCACCGAGAGAGAATAGACAGTAAATGTTTCTTTACCATCTCTTAACCGGACTCTCAGTTAATTTCTCCTAAGTCCAGACTAGGGGGGTGCTTCCAAGAAAGTTTGTTGTATCTGCTGTTGACTTCACTTTATCTCTTCTACAGGTGTAGATCTCCTGACAAAAGACAGCTTTGCAGGACTACTTCTGTCTGCAGGCCCTATGAACAGCCATCTCAAAATATATCAAAAGTATATTTTGGGATGAAATATTTTGGTTCCCTTCACAATACACTTTCTCCTTCCTGTGTGCCACTTGGATTCACAGCGAGAAAATTCTATATTTTCACATGTAGTTATCTCTCACCCAGTGTATAGGCATCCTGGGAAACAGGATGAGGCAGTGTAAAGTAGTACTTCTAGGGTGACCAAGGTCCCAGTTTGCCTGAGACTATCCAGTTTTAGCACTGACTTTCCCCAGATCCATTCTATTAGAATCTTCATATTAACAGGATCCCCAGAGTTCATTAAGCCCATTAAAATTTGAGAAACTGTTGTAGGGTGAACAATTACCTTGGTTTGCTCTGGACTGTAGGGGAATCTTGTTAATATGCAGATTCTAATAGAATGGGTCTGGGATAGGGCCACATTTTGAGCAGCAAGGATTTAAACTACAACATCTGTGTTTTGTTTTCTTTTGTTTTCCCCAGATGTCTATGTTCCTTCTCTTTGGGGCCTACTACTGAGTAGGAGCCTCCTTGCTAGATTTTATGTAACAGTGAGTTTTCTGTATTCCATGAGCCCGTTGTCCATCACTGCAATTTAGCTTTTTCCAGAATCTCCTCCAACCTGTCAGATATACCATTTGCAATCCCTGGTAGTAGGCATTGCTGATTTCCCACTCAACATCCATCTCTTACGTCTTTCCTCCTACAGAGACTGTGAGATGAATAAAAATGGATCCTAGAGGTTTTTAGATACCGTGTTTGCTAGTCCTTATCTCTGTAAGTTAGTTAAGAGCAGAGACTATTACTCATCCCTGATGCTGACAACATGAAGCATAATTCCCTGCTTAGAGTAGTCATTCCATAAATGCTTGTTGGCCCCTCTTCTGGTCTCACTTTCCACTCCTAAAACATTATTATTATTTCTCTTTCTTTTAAGAAATGGGGTTTCACTATGTTGTTCAGGCTGGTCTCAAACTTCCGGGCTCAGGTGATCCTCCCACCTCACCCTCTCAAAGTGCTGGGATTGCAGGCATGAGCTACCATGCTCAGCCACCTAGAACATAATTAGTGTTTGGAATCTTCTAGAAAGTAGAAAAATGATATTAGCAAAGGCATCTAGAAGTTGTAGGGACATGGAATTTAGAACTAATATTGACAGTGGCTGTGTATATCCACGGGCTACATATTTACCATAAGCCATTATTGTTTGTCTTAAACAGCAAATGCCTTTTAGGTACATGGCATTATGACATGTATTCACTTATTGAGGTTAACCCCCCAAAATAGCTTGTAGGGTAAATACGTCAGTAGACATTGAAAAGATAGTGTTAACCTAGGAGAGTGATCGTCTTTCTTGTAAGGGTTTTTACAAAAATTTGGTGGCAGGTCCACCAGAGGTTGATGAAAAAGAAGAGATGGGTTAGATCTGTGGACACAGGTGCAGCAGACACAAAAGTGGCTGGCTTGAGAGCAGCCAACAAGCACATCCTCACCACAAACAGTGGACTGGAAAAACAGTAGAACAGCAATTTACAAACATGCATATGGTAGACAATTTCCTTCAAACAAGCGGCAAGCAAATTAAAACTGTGTTATGGCAAGATAAACTGCATTTTATTTTTCCTTAATGATGTCTTTGCAGAGAGGGAAAAAAGTGAAGAGGTGTTTTGTTTGTTTGTTTGTTTGTTTGTTTGTTTTAGATAGAGTTTTGTTCCTGTTGCTCAGGCTGGAGTGCAGTGCAGTGGCACGACCTTGGCTCACTGCAACTTCCGCCTCCCATGTTCAAGCGATTCTCCATTCTTCTGCCTCAGCCTCCTGAGTAGCTGGGACAGGCGCCCACCACCATGCCCGGCTAATTTTGTATTTTTAGTAAAGACTGGGTTTCTCCATGTTGGTCAGGTTAGTCTCAAACTCTCGACCTCAGGTGATACGCCCTCCCCGGCCTCCCAAAGTGCTAGGATTACAGGCGTGAGCCACTGCGCCCGGCCAAGAAGAGGGTTTTAAGGGAAAGGTTGAGGACCAACCTTTGGTAAAATAGATGTTTAGATAAACCTCTCATGGTATAACCCACCTAAAATTCAATGTATGGATGAGATTGGAAAGTAAAGAAGGCCAGACGTGAAAGACGGTGTGGATCTTCCGGGACAGTTTTGTCATTGTGTGACCTCTCACCATGGGTGACCTAAGATTGGGCTCCTAACTGGAGCCAAAGCTGGAGCCTGAGCAGAGTGGGGACTGGGGTTGCAGACGACCACACAAACCTAAATTCTCCGATGGGGAAGATCTCCACAACTTGCAGAGGGAAGTAATGGACAACAGGCTTGATTCTGGGTAGAGCAGAAAATACAGAAAAGAAAACAAAAGTTTCTTCTCACAATTCCTAAACCTGGGCAGTGTTCAAATGAGTTGGAGGCCTGAGTTTACCCTACCATGTGGCACCAAAAAAATCCAAGCCAAAAACTGAGTTTAAAGTGTGGTCCTAGGGTGACAGGGCCTCTTGATGGCTAGAAGGAGCAAATACAAGTCTTCTGAAGAAAAGCATTTTAAACTCAGGCAGCAAAGAATTTCTACACAGAATCCTCAAGGAAAATGACCTCACATGCAGAAAGCACTGTCCACATGGGTTAGTTTATATGGGAATTAGCAAAACCAACAAGCTCCCACGTCTTATCCATGAGAATGGCAGATATTAGAGTTACCGGAAACAGAATATAAAATAGATATCATTAAAATTCCTAAAGTAAAAAAAGCGTAATTAAAATAAGAAAAGTAAAGATTATGAAGTTTGACCAGGTGGAATTGAAGATCTTAATTATGAATTTTATTTATTAAAAATATAAAATTGGCATTAGAAGATTAATGGATGGGTTAAATAGTGTATTAGGCACAGCAGAAGGAAGAGTTACTAAACTGTAAGACAGACTTGATGAAGTGATAGAAAGAATAGAGAGGCAAAAAAATTAACATTTAAAAAAATGTAGACACACAGAGGCTGGAGTACATGTCTCTAATGTACTTAGCAGAATTTCAAGAGAATGGATAGAATGGAAGACAGAAAATATTTGAGAGGGTAATGGCTGAAATTTTCTGGAATTAATAAGGACTTAGATTCAGAAAGCCTAATAAATCCCAAGCAGAATAAATGAAAAGAAATTCACACTGAAACACACTGTAGAGAAACTGTAGAACACAAACAAATCTTAAAAGCAGTTGAGAAAAAAATATTACCTACAAAACTGGTAATTTACTTTTCAACTGCAACAGTTGAAATCAGAAGACATGTCTTCAAAGTACTGAGAGAAAATAATTGTCAAAATAATTTTGTATGTGTAACGACATCATCCATCAAGAACAATTGAGAAATAGAGACATTTTCAACAAACAAAAACTGAATTTACTTCCAGCAAACTCTCATAGAAGAAAATCTAGGTAATGTTCTTCAGAGAAAAAAAAAAAAAGAATCCCAGAATTAAGTTCTGAGAAATGAAAGGAATACCAAACAAAGTGTAGACTTGTGTGGCTAAAACTAAACAGATATTGACTGTAAAAGAAATTAACAATGTCGTTCAATTTGTAGTGTTAAAAAAAATCAAGACAAAACTCATATCTTAAACAGCAATGGCATGTAAAGTAAACAGGGTGATTGCCTCAGGCCATTTCACTTTCCTTTTGTTGTTCAGAAGACAAATATGCTAAGACCATTTACTTTGGACAATATTATGTTAAATGGACATGTAAAATTTTAAGGGTAGCTGGAATAGTGGAATGTAAAACTCCTAAACTGGTGGAGGAAAATAAGTTGAATGGAGTGGGAACCAGGGACACAATCAATCCAAAACATGAAAAAAGAATTAAAAGAAACAGTAAAAAGAAGAACAAATGGAAATTATGAAACAAGATGAAAGAAATCAACGTTATTGAACCCCCAAATTTAGGTTCATGTACCTGATACATGGTAAGCCAAACACTGGCAGATCAGCGCTCAGGAGCAGAGAAAGGTTTGTTTGATTTGGCCAAAGTGAGAAGGCAGGAGAAGCAGTCTTTCAAATCTGATCTGCCTTTCAACATAACTGAAGGCTTTTATGAGTAAGATAGGGATACGGGAAATGGGACCCCCTGATGACCAAAGTTGTTTGCATCCCTTGGACTCTAGATTTCATCGGTCCTGATTAAATTTCTGGATGCTATCAAGGAGGTCTGCATGACCTAAGGATCGTTGTTCTTGTAAAGAAAAACAAGTTCATCAATCTTGTGGGCAGCGCAAGGAGTCAGAATATGAAGTTAATCAATGACCAGTGACTACCCTCTACCAATGTGACTACGTGCAAGCAATCATGCATGGAGGAAGAAGAGGGCAAGGAAAAAGGAAAATAAGTAAAACAAACATCTTATGACCTTTATAATAAAAGCTCAGTTGCATTAACTTACACATATCAGTTATCACAATCAATGAGAGTGAAATAAACTCCAGTTAGAAGACAGGAATATTCAGAGTGGATTTAAAAGCAAACTTACAAACTTAGCTATATGGTGTTTACAAAAGACATAACTAAAACACAAAGGCATAAAGACATTAAAATAAGCAGATGGAAAAATAAATTCTAGGGAAATGTCAAAACGGTAGACTTTATATTAAAAGTATTGCCAGAGATAAAGAGGTTTCTTAAATATTTTGAAAACTACAGATCTCCACAAAGATAATTCTGACCTTTTAAGCATTGAAAAACATGTATTCAACATCCAGCAACAGGAAAGTACTTGTTTTTGATCTCACATAGAATCTTGCAGAAAATTGGCCTCATGTTAGACCAGAGAGGTCTCAATACAATTCTCATGAGTTTTTGGGTTACATTCTCTGATCACAGTGCAAATAAGTTTGACATCTATATTAAGAAAGTGGATTTTTGGAAGCAGAAATTCTTCTAACAACATGTGTAAGGGCTAAGAGAAAATGTCCCCTTCACCCTAAGATTCACTGAAAAATCAGCTGAAAAGAGGCAGATTAATAGAAGTGTAAACCAAACATCTTTGGAGAAATATTTCAACCTTTAAAGGAGAAACGGTGGATATTGGGAAGGAGGAAGAAATTTTTAAAGGTATGGGTAGGTAAGAGACAAATGGTTGTGTTCTTTTGAGTCTTTGATCAGGCTTTTATTGAATACACAATTTTCCTGTGAGTGGGGGTAGAGGAATAGTCACTTCCGCCTTAGTCTGGCTCAGTGAATCTGCTTTTTTACATCATAGGAATCAATCAGATGCCCTTTTGTCTCAGGTGAGCAGAGAGATGACTTAGAGTTCTGTCTTTTGTCCCACACCTGTGAAGATAAGCTATCAATTTACATTGTCAGGGTAAAATTCAACAGAACCATTTTAGGGTAAAGATTTGAGGCCCACAAGGAATTTTCTAGTGGGCAAATTGTGACGGAGGTATGTAGCTTTTTACAATCTTTACACCTATCTTATTTAGGAATGGGAGGCATAATGGGAGGTTTGCCCCACACAATTCCCAGCTCCACTTTTCCCTTTGACTTAGTGATTTTGGGGTGCTGAGACTTATTTTCCTTTCACAGGATAAATGGCATACAAATTTATTAACATGCAAAGAGGGGAAATCAGTGATTATCCCAGTCTCCCAGTGGGGTACAGAAGCTTATAAACCATCTTGAGGCTACAGATAGAATGGGGACTCAGTGCATGGCCAAAAACAGGTTATGGTGGAAAATCAGGTTATGGTTTGGCAGTACAGGTTATGAGAGAGAAAGACAGAGACAGAGAGAAAGAGAGAGAGAGAGAGGTGAGAGAGAGGCTTGGCTAGCAAAGGTGGTCTTCTTACGGAGATAGAACCTTGCAGGTAGCAGCGATGGTAAGCGTTTCTTTCAGAATTTTAAAGGTTTCAGACTCTAAATTAATTTTTTTTTACCTGGACAAGGGAGGGCTCCAAAGAAAGCCCAGCTGCATCAGTGCAGATTGTCTACAGGTGCAAATCTCCACCACAGAAGACAGCTTTGCAGGGCTACTGCTGTTTGCTGGCCCTCTGAAGGGTCATCTCAAAATATGTCAAAGAAGTATGTTTGGGGGTGAAATATTTTTATTTCATCCACACATGTATTTCAAATCTTTATTTTAGGTTTTGCTGATTGGCAATTTTGATAAATTTATATCTCATCATTTTCTGGAACACTCTGCTTTATGTTTTATTTTCTTGAACCAAAATATTTGGTTGAAGCGTCAGTGTTTCATAAATTGATTCTCAAGTGCCATATAGCATGCGTATGTGCACACTCACTCTTTGGTTGTTTGATAGAATTCAATTTTAAAAAGAAGCTAAATTCAAAAAATCGGTTTTTAGTGTTAGCCTGGGCATAAAGGACTCTGTCAATAATTAAAATCCATTTTTAAAAAGCCTCAACCAAAAAAAAACTTTTATGTAATTATGTTTTAAGTATCAGTAGTGTATTGATTATGGTAATTTAAAAAACCTATGGTTATTAATCATTATGACAGAGTTATTTTGCTTTTTAAAAAAACTTTATTGACTTAACAGGAAGAGGCTGAGATACAAAATATAATTTAAAGAGTTTCACTTTGGGAGGCCGAGGAGGGCAGATCACAAGGTCAGGAGTTCAAAACCAGCCTGGCCAACATGGTGAAACCCCGGCTCTACTAAAAATACAAAACTTAGCTGGGCATGGTGGCACATGCCTGTAATTCCAGCTACTTAGGAGGCTGAGGCAGAAGAATTGCTTGAACGGACACCTGGGAGGTGAAGGTTACAGTGAACCAAGATCGCACCACTGCACTCCAGCTCCAGCCTGGGCTACAGAGTGAGACTCCATATCAAAAAAAAAAAAAAAAAAAAAAAAAGTTAAAGAGTGTACTTGAGCCAAAATAAGGACAGCTGCCCTGACGACTCAGATCTAAATAACCTTGGATGTGAAGAATGTTTTGCCTTTGTAACAAGTGGGTTTTAAAAGGGAAAAATGGAGTGGGTTGATACAAAGTTATTTGTCAGGAATTCTCATTGGTTTACAGAAATAACAATGATTAGTGATCGGCTATATACATTGTTAAGCTACAAGGTTATAGTGGATTAGTGTCTGTGTGGCATTATTAGGTTAATTTATATTCATGGCAATAGCAAGCAGTCAAGAGATGAATATGTAGCTCAAGTGGGAGGCAGGATGTGATTGTTTTAATGACTCTCTGGGCCTGATCATTTAAAAGCTTTGCATTCCTTGGATAAAATTTCTTTTCTTTTCTCAGTTTGGGCTTGGGATATCCCAAGATGGTTCAGATGATCTCAAAGGACATAAATGTAACTTAATTTTAAGTAATTTTCATAGAAATTATAATATATAGAATTAATTTAGAAAAGATAGGATTCATAAGTCTGGTTATAATAAAAATGTAATTATTAAAAACTCCATTAAGGCAGACACCAAGCCTTTTTTTTTTTTTTTTACCACTTTCATAGTAACCAGCACATAGTAGATATTCAACAATTTTTTTTTGAATGAAAATAAAGATAATGTGAATGCAGGTTGATAACTGAATGGTTAAAAAGCCAGAAATAAAAAGCCTGCATCTAATGTGAAGAAAAAGGCACTCATAGTCATCATTTTATTTCACTCCATCAACCTCTATTGAGTGCGTACTATGTGCCAAAAATTGTTCTAGATGTTGTGTGATATATTTGTGAATAACAGGCTTGATTCTTAGCAGCGTAGACCTTACTGTCTGTTTAGGGGGATACAACTTGGAAATAGAAGGTTGATCAGGAGTATCCAAGCTCCTAAACAGTGTGATAAGGAATGGGGAACTCAGCTCATCTTTTTCTGTAGACATTTTAAAATGGAGCTTTGATTTTACCAAAAATTTGACCACTTATGATCATTCTTTAATATTCACAGTTGACACAATATCCATCATCCTATTTGAAGCAGAAAGACCAAGTATTATCATTAATTTACAAACAAGAAAAATGAAGTCCACAGTGGGTAAATTATACAATTAGAACACAGGTTTCCTGAATCCAAGTTATTGGAGATAAAGGAGATTTAGCCTTCTTTTTATTGGGTTTTGGTGTTCATTTTTAGCAAATACTTGAATAAAAAGAATAATCACAATCTCCTTTTTGGTCATGTTCAAAATATCAAACTATGTGTTTTTAGCAAATACTAGTTCTGGGTGAACGTTCGAAATTTTCACTTTTTGTTTAAGCATTCGTTATTAGCTCTAGAGATACAATCAGAAGGTCCTCAGTTATAGGAGCAGGAGTCCTTGGAAACAACGCTGGTTGGACATTATATTAGTCGACTGCAAACATCGTGAAGCTAAACTTTTTATTATTTATCTCATGTTCCTAGTGTCCTGCACTTAGTCCTCACAGATGAAAACGGGGTCAGCAATAAGAGCTGTCAGTCCTCCATGCCTTTCTGACTGCCACTCCCTTAGCCCAAGCCCTTGTGACCTTGCAGCTTAAATTATTTTCCAAAAGCAATTCTGTCATTCTTTGGCTCAGAAACTTAGTTCAGACTGCTATAGCAAAACCACCATAGACTGGGTGACTTGAACAGCAAACATTTATTTCTCAGGTTTGAAGCCTGGGAAGTCCAATATCAAGGTGCTGGCAGATCTGGTGTCTGGTGAGGGCACTCTTCCTAGTTTGTAGATAGCCATCTCTCATTGTATCCTCAGGTGGCAGAGGGCAGAGAGGGAAAGAGGAGGCACTCATGTGTCTTCTTATGAGGGCACTAATCCAATTCAAGAGGGCCCCACACTCATTATCTAATTTCTTCCCAAAGGCCCCACCTCTTAATATCACAACACTAGAGGTTAGGATTTCAACATGTGAATTTTGAAGGGACATGTATTAGGGTTCTCTAGAGGAACAGAACTAATGGGGGAGGTTCCAAGATGGCCGAATAGGAACAGCTCCAGTCTACAGCTCCCAGGGTGAGCAATGCAGAAGACAGGTGATTTCTGTATTTCCAACTGAGGTACCAGATTCATCTCACTGGGGCTTGTTGGACAGTGGATGCAGCACACTGAGCAGGGCTGGGCGTCACCTCACCTGGGAAGTGCAAGGGGTTGGGGGAATTCCCTTTCCTAGCCAAGGGAAACCATGACAGATTGTACCTGGAAAATAGGGACACTCCCACCCTAATACTGTGCTTTTCCAATGGGCTTAGCAAATGGCACACCAGGAGATTATATCCTGCGCCTGGCTCAGAGGGTCCCACACCCACAGATCCTCACTCACTGCTAGCACAGCAGTCTGAGATCGAACTGCAAGGCAGCAGCGAGGCTGGGGGAGGGGCGTCCGCCATTGCTGAGGCTTGAGTAGGTAAACAAAGTGGCTGGGAAGCTTGAACTGGGTGGAGCCCACTGCAGCTCAAGGAGGCCTGACTGCCTGCCTCTGTAGACTCCCCCTCTGGGGGCAGGGCATAGCCAAACAAAAGGCAGCAGAAACTCCTGCAGACTTAAATGTCCCTGTCTGACAGCTTTGAAAAGAGTAGTGGTTCTCCCAGCATGGAGTTTGAGAGCTGAGAACGGACAGACTGCCTCCTCAAGTGGGTCCGTGACCCCTGAGTAGCCTAACTGGGAGACACCTCCCAGTAGGGGCCGACTGACACCTCATACAGCCGGGTGCCCCTCTGAGAGGAAGCTTCCAAAGGAAGGATCAGGCAGCAACATCTGCCATTCTGCAATATTTCCTGTTCTGCAGCCTCCGCTGGTGATACCCAGGCAAACAGGGTCTGGAGTGGACCTCTAGCAAACTCCAACAGACCTGCAGCTGAGGGTCCTGACTGTTAGAAGGAAAACTAACAAACCGAAAGGACATCCACACCAAAACCCCATCTGTATGTCACCATCATCAAAAACCAAAGGTAGATAAAAACACAAAGATGGGGAGAAACCAGAGCAGAAAAGTTGAAAATTCTAAAAATCAGAGCACCTCTTCTCCTCCAAAGGAACACAGCTCCTTGCCAGCAATGGAACAAAGCTGGATGGAGAATGACTTTGATGAGTTGAGAGAAGAAGGCTTCAGATGATCAGTAATAACAAACTTCTCCGAGCTCAAGGAGGATGTTCGAACCCATCGCAAAGAAGCTAAAAACCTAGAAAAAAGATTAGACGAATGGCTAACTAGAATAAGCAGTGTAGGGAAGTCCTTAAATGACCTGACGGAGCTGAAAACCATGGCACGAGAACTACGTGACACATGCACAAGCTGCAGTAGCTGATTTGATCAAGTGGAAGAAAGGGTATCAGTGATTGAAGATCAAATGAATGAAATGAAGCGAGAAGAGAAGTTTAGAGAAAAAAGAGTAAAAAGAAACAAACAAAGCCTCCAAGAAATATGGGACTATGTGAAAAGACCAAATCTATGTCTGATTGGTGTACCTGAAAGTGACGGGGAGAATGGAACCCAGCTGGAAAACACTCTTCAGGATATTATCCAGGAGAACTTCCCCAACCTAGCAAGGCAGGCCAACATTCAAATTCAGGAAATACAGAGAACACCACAAAGATACTCCTTGAGAAGAGCAACTCCAAGACACATAATTGTCAGATTCACCAAAGTTGAAATGAAGGAAAAAATATTAAGGGCAGCCAGAGAGAAAGGTCGGGTTACCCACAAAGGGAAGCCCATCAGACTAACAGTGGATCTCTTGGCAGAAACTCTACAAGCCAGAAGAGAGTGGGGGCCAATATTCAACACTCTTAAAGAAAAGAATTTTCAAGCCAGGATTTCATATCCAGCCAAATTAAGCTTCATAAGTGTAGGAGAAATAAAATCCTTTACAGACAAACAAATGCTGAGAGATTTTGTCACTACCAGGCCTGCCTTACAAGAGCTCCTGAAGGAAGCACTAGACATGGAAAGCAAAAACCAGTACCAGCCAGTGCAAAAACATGCCAAATTGTAAAGACCATCTATGCTAGGAAGAAACTGCATCAACTAATGAGCAAAATAACCAGCTAACATCATAATGACAGGATCAAATTCACACATAACAATATTAACCTTAAATGTAAATGGGCTAAATGTTCCAATTAAAAGAGGAGCAGAACTAACTGTATATATAGAGAGGAACTATAAATAGGGGAGTTTATTAAGTATTAACTTGCATGATCACAACGTCCCACAATAGGCTGTCTGCAAGCTGAGGAATAAGGAGAGCCAGTCCGAGTTCCAAAACTAAAGAACTTGGAGTCTGATGTTTGAGGGCAGGAAGCATCCAGCATGGGAGAAAGATGTAGGCTGGGAGGCTAAGACAGTCTCTCTTTTTCACGTTTTTCTGCCTGCTCTATATTCGCTGGCAGCTGATTAGATTGTGCTCACCAGATTAAGGGTGGATCTGCCTACCCCAGCCCACTGACTCAAATGTTCATGTCTTTTGGCAACAGCCTCACAAACACACCCAGGATCAATACTTTGTATTCTTCAATCCAGTTGAGTGGGCACTCAGTACTAAACATCACAGGACGCAAGCATATAGTCTAAAACAGGAGCCTTAGGAGACTCTCGTACCTACTAAACATTGACCGAATGCTTCAGTCTACCATTCAATGCTTTTTATAACCCTTTAGCAGTTCACTATGTTCTGCTCATCTCTCTTTCCCTCATTCAATGCCTCTCCTGGTGTCATTAACATCCTGGTCTCCAACCACATTCACTGTTATCACAAGATACTTGGTTTTTGTACAGTCCCATGTCTTTGCTCAAGCAGTTTCTTCTCTCTGGAACACTCTCCCCTGCCATTATATGTTGTTGAAATTTAACATATTCTTAACAATCTCAGCTAAAATCCAAACTGTCTTTGGATCCTCGACTTATAATGAATTTCCTTTCCTCATGCCCCAACCACAAGCCCCTAGTTTGCATTGCCTCCATAAGACTTACCCCACTCTACTTTGCACCAGCATTACTGGGCTATATATCAAGAGTTTAGAGATGGCTTGCATGCAGGGCCAATGTCTCATCTATGTCCACACTAGTTCAGTTTCTTGTCACACAGTAGATGTTTTATAAATGTTTCCTGAATTCCCAGAATTAATAAATTATGCCACTTAAGGTAACCAGAAACACCAGTGCCCACCTCTATATAGCTAAATTGACCCTGATAAAGTGTCCTCCACTGAAAAATGAATGCATTGACACAGAGAAGTGACATCATTGTGACAATCACAAAGCAAGTGACAATGTAACATGTACCTGACATCTATTTTTAAAAATGAAGAAGACTCAGAAATTTGAGGCAGGCACTGGAAATTAAAACTGGCTGTTCAATATTACTAGAATGATCCCACTGTGCCACTGTCATTAGTACTAATACCCACTAGTGATCCCACTATACCACTGTCATTAGTACTAATACCACTGTCACTGTGGTGGTATTACCACTGTCATTAGTACCCGGTGACTAATTGGCACAGCCAGGGAGTAAAAGTTTTTTCACTTCTGTACTTGTTTTTCTTCATTTTGCAGGGTTAATTTGTGTCTAGCTCTCCTAAACTTTTATCTTGCTGGCTTTCAGGCTTCCAAATTCAAAAAAAATATTGAATTGCTCCTGACATCTAGCTGGCTTGATCTGGAATGCATGCATAATTTAAGCTGATTGAATATTTTGCCACATTAGAGTGGAAAATATCTATATCCCCAAAGCAGTAAAAGAAACTGACAAGTTCAAATACCACTTGGCATCACCTTCCATGATTTTCACCAGGTAACTAAGGCCATCTAGGAGGCTGAAATCAAAGTTTGCCTTTAGCTACGGGATTCACTCCTGAGTACCCAAGGCCGAGAAAGAGAAGACTCTGTCTTTAGCTGATGCAAGGTTTCCTTCCTTGGATGCAAGATAAAATAAACACATTCCTTAGATTATTTTGCTTTTTTCTTTTTAAAATATGCTTTTTGAATTGATTTCCATTTTAACCAAAGAAAATGAATTTGGAAAGTGCTTTCACTCATAGGATTTACTTAAATTGTAAGTATATAAAAAAAGGACAGTCTTAAAACCCTCAAAATTTGTTAGAAATGAACAACTAATGAGACAGTCAAGTCACTCAGGGTGATAGACGTCCTTGGCTTCCCCTCCTCACTCCAGCCTCCTGTGACTCTGTGTCACCCGCATCCCCATATGGCATGGAACGTGCTCCCTCTCCCTTCACGTGGGTCACGTTGTGCACATGGCATGAATCCTGAGAGTATGAAGAGGTGGCGCCTTTCAGAGTCACAATCATAGCAATGCAACTGTAGAACTGACAGAGTGAAGGAGCCAATCTACCAGAAGTGATGCAGTAAACTAGAAAATGAGGACACAGAGGCAGATGAGCCCCCAGCACTGCCTGGAGGAAGAGAGGCAGAGGATGGGAGATACCAGTACTCTGGGTTGTTCCTGTGGTAAGGTAGGGACATTTCCTCAGGCCTCATTTAGCCAGAGCATAATTCTTAGGGCTCTCAATTTCTTTGTTTTCTTTCCATGCTCATCAATAACAATTCTGATCTTACTTCTGAGATACCTTGATACTAGAAAATGAGGGTAGAAGAATGGGTATTCTGGCCCCTGGGAAGAGATAGCTTCAATAAAAAATATGGGTCAGCTGTTTTATTCAGCAAATTTGTTGAACACTTACCAAGTGTCATGGACTCGCTAAGGGCTGGGGATTCAGCAGGAAAATAAGACAAAGAGCATCCTTTCATGGAGTGTATATTCTCTAAGAAGGAGATGGACAGTAACATATGAACAAGTAAACAAAATTAGTTTAAATAATGATGACCTCTTTAGAAAAAGTTTTATGGGCAGGTTCACAGAAAGTGAGTGGATGGGGAAGGGTAACTGTAGATGGAGTCTTCTGGAAAGGCTTCCTGGAGATGGTGATATTTGAGTTGAGACCTGAATGACAAGAAGGAGGCAACCATGTGAAGAACCAAATTCTAGACAAAAGGATTATCAAGAGCCAAGGCCTAGAGGCAGGAATGAGTGGACAGTCAGGAAGAAAAAGAAGGCCTGTGTGCTTGGACCACAGTGAGTATACGGGTGAGCAGTATGAGGTGAGGTTGGAGAAATCCAAATCAGAGAGCCTCTATGGATGCCAAGAAAATAGTTTGGGGACCTGAGAAATGGGGGACCAACCAGACCTCGAGATAAATTGGATTAAGATGGATGTTTCCCTTAAGAATTTCCTTCAGTAGCAAGTGCTAGGCAATAATCCTCATTCATCATATCTCTTCTCCCAAGAAAACCCTTCTGTTCTCTGGACTGCCATGACAATTGTCCTAACACACTCTGTTAGTTAATGCCCAGGAGTTTTGCACATACTGTTCTTTTGCTCAGAATATCGTTCCTCAGATGTCTGCCTGAAGAAGTCTTAAGTTCACCCTTCCAAATTCAAATAAAATATCTCCTCTCTCCTGTAAATATCCTAATCAAAGGATGGTCCTACAGAAGTCTGTGTACCTCTATTATAACATCTTTCAAATTGTGTTGTGTTTGTCTCTCTCTATCCTTAGACTATGAGTCTCACGGAAGGTAGAATACATTCTTATTCATCTTTGCATCCTCTATGCCTAACAAAGCAGGAGCTCAAGAAATGCTAGGAAGGAAGGAAGGAAGGGAGGGAGGGACGGAGGGAGAGAGGGAGGGAGAAAGGGAAGGATTCAACTTCAAAATGTATGAGTAGTTCATCTCAAAGATATTTGTAGTTAAAAAAAAAGAGGGAAATAAATGCATCAGAAAGGATATTTTTGTAACTAAAAAAAGTGATATTCATCTGAGAAATTATTATTCTGCCTTCCTAAGACCACCAAGGAATATAAAATCCCTCCCACACTTCTTTACAGAGGTATTTGCATGTGAGTCAGTTCCCGTCAATCCCAAATTACATAGATCTGTACAGTAGCAATTAGGTTTATAAACTGCTGGAGGGGAAGAGTGACAGCTGTTAAACTGTGGCGGAAACAAAAAACCTCTGCGCAAGGATTAAACTGACTAGTTACAGAGAGACTGACAATCTGCAAGGCACTTCCAGGAAGCAATCTTTCTGATGCAAATTATCAGAGGATGCAGAAATGAAATAGGAAGCCCATCTAACTATCATGTTTCACTTTTGTGATGAGGGTGGCAACAGAAGTGGGCAAAGGGCAGAGGACATCTAGCCCAGTCTGCAAGAGTTCTGGGAGTCTAGGCAGATACTGGATGATAGTCATATTGACTATCTCAGCCATCTCTCAAATTTGGCAGAAAATTTAAAACTATTCAGGAGCTTAAAAAAACAAACAAACAGTAGTGCCTGGACTCCACCCCATGCCACTTAAATAAGAATTTCCAAAGATGGGGATATAGAACCAAAAGTTTTCACAAGCTCCCCAGGTGAACCCGGGCAACACGGCAAAACTCTATCTCTCCAAAAGGTACAAAAATTAGCCGGGTGTGTTGGTGCGCCTGTAGTCCTAGCTACTTGGGAGGCTGAGGTGGGAAGATTGCTTGAGCCTAGGAAGTTGAGTCTGTAGTGAGCTGAGATCATGCCACTGCACTCCAGCCTGGGTGACAGAGTATGGCCTTGTCTCAAAAAACCAACCAAACAACCAACCAAACAAATGCCTCCCCAAGTGAAGTGATTCTATCAGATGCAAATGATTAAAATTCCTTTACTCAGCACTATTCATAAAGCCTTTCCACGTAACGTCGACTTATTTAATATGGCCTATAAAGAGAGGTAAAACCGAGGCTCCCGGATAGGAAGGAAACTCGCCCGAGGCCATGCAGCTAGTGGTAAGATTCAAGAGTGTGCCTGCAGACTTCAGGTTCGTGGTGTATTCAGGAAGGCAGGCTAGTTCAGGAAACTCCTGGGGACTATGTCTTGCAGACAAATTTGTCTATGGTGATTCTGGTCTCCCTTTTATGCTCTTTCTTCCTGATTAACATTCCTCTTTTCTCCATAGCTTTCCCTCCTACGTGCCTTGCATTCCTGGGTGCCTATTCTTGCTCCCATTCCTGCTGGGATGATCTATCTGATTGGTGACTAACCACTCAGTGGGAATTCATTTTGTGGGCAGCCTTCCTATGGAAAAATGTTCTCTTTAAAAGAACATTGGCAAAGGAGACTAAATGCCAACAATTGGTGAATTTGGGTAAAGAGTGTATGGGAGTTTCTTGCATTATTGCTGAAACTTTTCTTAATTTTGACGTATCAAAATAAAGAGTTATAAGAGGAAGAAGGAGGAAGAGGAGAGAGAGGAGGAGGAGAAGGAGAAGGAAGGGAAAGGGGAAAAAATACTGGCAGTATTTAGTGTAGATTAAATAGCCTTGGACAATGAACGCATGGCCTAAAGCCATGGAGGCCTGAATCTGTTCCAGACTCAACCTCCACCCTGCTATTCTGAGACCCTGGGAAGGCCGCCCTCTATTCTGGATTTGATTGTCCTGGTGGTAAAATGAGGGGACTAGTGTAGATCATCCTTGTTCTGTGTATTTTTTGCTGCATGAAACCATTCCAAAATTTAGTTGCTTAAAACAGAAATTTCTTATTACTTCTCATGGTTCTCTGCACTGATAGGCTCAGCCTGGAGAGTCTCACATGAAGTTCTCTGGAGTTATAGTCAGAGAGAAGCTGGGTTTGGTATCACCTAGCCAAATGGGGTGGACATCCAAGACAGTTCACTCACACAGCTGGCAGATGATCCTGGCCATTGGCTGGGAGCCCACATGGAATTGCTGACCCAGATTACCCATGCTTTAGCTGTCTTACAGACACAACGATGCTTGCCTCAATTAGGACTTTTTTTTTTAAGGATATGAGTCTTTTGTAAACTAGATGTCTACACTCCCATGAATGTTGTCATTGCTGTTGTTTATATTATTCTGACCACTGGCAGTTACCACCTTGTTAACTGCTATCTGGTGGGTTGTCTAGATGCTTCTCGTGGCCACTCCCCTCTGTTAGAGTCTTTTCCTTTCCGCCCTCCACCCGCAGGGCAGCTGCCTAGAAATCTGAGTGTAGGCAATAAGGGATAACTGCTTAGAAAACATTATGTGGCGTTTGCACATATAAAAACTGGTTGTTTTCAAACACCAGTCACTGTCATACGGCTACGTAGGTGTACCACATTCACAAACACATCCTCCCTCACGTTCTTTTGCTTAAAAGATGATTGGTGGGGGCCGGGCGCGGTGGCTCATGCCTGTAATCCCAGCACGTTGGGAGGCTGAGGCGGGCAGATCATGAGGTCAGGAGATTGAGACCATCCTGGCTAACACGGTGAAACCCCGTCTCTACTAAAAATAAAAAAAAATAGCTGGGCGTGGTGGTGGGCGCCTGTAATCCCAGCTACTCGGGAGGCTGATGCAGGAGAATGGCGTGAACCCGGGAGGTGAAGATTGCAGTGAGCCGAGATCACGCCACTGCACTCCAGCCTGGGTGACAGAGTGAGACTCCATCAAAAAAAAAAAAAAAAAAAAGATTGGTGGGGAAAATATACCGTGTGTTAGGCTTGCTTAGAAACCCTTCAGAATCAGAAGTGAAGTTCACAAGCAGAGAGCTTATGCCCCAATTGAGATTTACTTCAGTTTTTCAGTTTTTGTTTGTGTACTTGTTTTAATAAGGATTATACATACGCTGATGGTTGACAAGTCCACAAGATTCGTTTCAGAAAGCAGTAGCGCCCTTCTCCCCCTTTCTTTCATGTCCACCTCTCCAACACACCACTTTCACCTATTTTAGCCACTACTTTTTGGTATTTGATTCAGGATAGAGATACTTATGTTTTTTTCAGTTTTCTCCCTCTTCCATTATCACATATGCACATCCTTTCATACTATCCAAATCTTCTCATGACAATTATGTCCTAACCTGGGCTAGATTTAAATGTGTCTGCACAGAGTTCATAAGTTAGTTTCATAAGGTTTCATTTTTTTCTGGTTCGCTGATTATCTTGTCATTTCTAAGTTTATATATTATACTTCCTCTTTTGTAAAAAATTGGGTTAGGGTTAGCCAGGGGTTTAAATCCTCTTTATGATTTTGACTGCGCAAACACTGTTTAAACAGTGAAACATGTACTTTCAACTGATTCTTTTTTCTGAATAACTTTTTATTATTTTTTAGAGCCAATGATGGTCTTATAGTTTTTAATTTGCTTATTTTTTTCAATGTAGGTAACCTAATTCATCCAAAGTTCTGCCACCTATTCAGGTTTTCTCTCAAAATGTTCAAAAGTATCAGTTATTCTATCAATGATAACTTTCTGAAGAATTTTTTGGGGGCCTTCTGTTGGATTCCAGAGTGCTGATTTTAACCTTTTTGCTGGGTGCATAGCTGCATCATTGGATCTGCCTGGTCAGTCTGTGGTGGGGGATAATTAAGGAATCAGAGAGACCGAGGGGCTGAGGAGGAATTATTTAATTATTTAGGTGCACTGACCCACTCGGATTAACATCCAAACGACTGAGCCCCAAACCAAGAGTCAAGCTACCTTTTAAACATTTTGTGGGGTGGGGGGAGATCTGTGCAGGGGGAAGCATATTACAGAAGGGAGAAACAAAGACACTTATTTAATTGAGACGTGCATTACATCATTTCTTACTTTTTAAGGAACAACATGGTTTATGACTTGAGATTATCTGTCTGGTGACCTTGCAGCTGCACAGCTAGAGAAACAGTCTTCATAATGCCTGGGAAAGGGAGAGATAAGGGTCACTAGCCACAGAAAAACAGGCAGTTAATTTTAAAGGACGCCAGCTCTTTCTCTTCTTAAGGGGGAATTGGGTTTTCTTACATACAACTGAGTTTTTGCTTACATGTTCTTTATTTTCTTTTAATTCCTGTTTCAAGTCATCATTAGGATCCCCTTCACCTCTCTTTGATTCCCAGTTTTCTGTATCCATATTTTCCTCTTTATTGGTTTTCTCCCTTCTTTAAAGGAACTACATCCCTTGGCAGAGCAAACCTCTCTGAAAAAGAATATAGGGCAGGTAAAATTTTGAGAACATTCATCTCTGAAGTTGTCTTTATTTAATTCTCACACCTGACTGATGATTTCATTGGTTATGACATTCCACATCAGGAATCATTTCATTCAGAATGTTGAAGTCTCCCTTCCATAATCTTCTAGCTTCTAACATGTCTGTTGAGAGAAGTCTGAAATTATTCAAATTCATGAGTCTTTGTATGTTATTGGGTTTTTTCCCTCTCTTTCCTCCCCTTCTTTCCTCTCCTCTCTCCCCACTTCTCCATCTTTTTCCTCTTTCTCTTTCTCTCTCTCTCTCTGTCTCTATCAGGGCCTTGCCTCACCCTCTCCCTCTTCCCCTCTCTTTCCCCCATTATGGCGATTTTATCCATGGTGCCAGGCCCTCTCAATCTGGAAACTAGTGTCATTTAGTTAGAGGACCTTTTCCTGACTTATTTGGTTGGTGATTTTCTCCCTTCCATTTCTTCTCTTCCCTTCTTTTGGAAGCCCTGTTATTTAGACCTTAGACTTTGAGGGCTGTTGTTTCTTCTATCTCTCTGTTTGCCATTTTTTTCTATTTTATCATATATGTCTTCAACCTTAACTTCTGTTTCTTCTATTAAATTTTCATTTATCTGCTGTTATATTTTCAATTTCTAGGTGTTCTTTTATTTGTCTCTGAGTATGCTTTTTAATTGCATCTTCTTCTTTTTGCATGGATGCAATATCATCTCTTAACTCTCCAAAGATATATTATTTTTCAGTTGTCTTCTCCCTGTATGTTTTCTTTTTTCTCTAATGTGCCTTGTGTTTGTTTTGGTCTCTGTATTTCAAGTTACAAATAGTGATCCTTGGGGAACCACAAAAACTAACTAGACTAGGTCACAAGAAAAGTTTATTGGAAGCTCTGGATTCATGGGGTGGGACAGGTTGACTGTGGGCTCTAATGGTGAGTTTGGGCCAATTTTTATCAATATCTGTAAATCTTTCCCCTTAGGCTGATTTTATTTCTGGGGAAGGATCCTCTGGTCTTGCGTTGGCATTTTTGTAACTGTGTTGGCAGTGTCAGCTGAGACCTCAATGTTTGGAGCACTTATATTTTCTTATTGTCCTTCAGGATGGTAGCCCACTCTCAATTGTGCCTGGTGCCCTCTAGTTTAGGGAACATCCATTTACCCTGTTCAGAGACCACATTTCTAGTCTTCTACCAGGTGGGTGTTCACCTGGCTGCAAGGTAGAGAGGATATAATTGTCAAAAGCAGACTTTTTAAGCTAGCCTGTTCACTCACAATTCCTAAGGTACTTAGTGCAAATTAGTAAAATTTTGAGGGGTTCTGCATGTAAATAGTTTTTTTGTTTAACATTTACCAGTGCTGGTTTAAGATTCAACTTTTCCTGTACAGCTAAATTAGTTAGCATTCATTCATTTGCATTTTACCCTTCAAAATTTTATTTCTTGTAAATTTGTGTCTCTTCTCAGTTTCTCTAATTATGAATTATATCCTTTAAAAATATGTATCTTTACTATTGTTTTAGTGGGGTTCAGGAATGGAGCAAAAGAATGTGTCCATTTCAACTCATCATTTTTACCCAGTGTTCCCTAAGGAAGATGTCTTGAATTGGGAAGACTGTGGGCAAGAAGAGAAGGTTTCAGATTGCAATGTTTCTTCTAGCTTGAAGGGATTGGATTTTGAAAGTAAATGCATATTTCAATTTGCTTTTCCCATTTGTGAACCTTGAAACACGATTCAAGACACCACATTATTATCACTCTCACACCTGTCATGATGACAGCAGCCAACATCCACTGAGTGGGTACTTCATGGCACTGCATAGCCCAGCACTTTATACACTTTATTTCATTTCATCTTCACACCAATTACATAAGGTCAGTACTTTTATTATTCTCATCATAGAGGTAAGAGGAGTAACACTTGGAGAAATTAAATAACTTGCCCGAGGTCATAAAGCTATAAACTGAAAGAATCGGAATTCAAAGCTAGGTCTGCCCAGCCCATAGTTGCCCAGTGATGATGCTCCTTTTAGTTGCAGGTGTCTGCTCTCTTGGTTGATGCAGCTTTTTTGTTTTTACCATGCCACCGCAGACCCCAACTGCTACCACCACTGCTGCTTGTAACCACCCCCCAGCTAGCGTCAATTTCACAAAAATGCACTTAATAAGTGCTCGAGTAAATACGCGTAGAATGTGAGTGAACAGAGATCTTTTGTATAAAAGATCTTCCTAGAAACTTTGAGGGGTATACAATGGAAGCAAACATGCCTTTCAAGGAGAACATAGTCTATTGACAGAAACAGAAACCACCTGGTCTTGGTGCTTTTGTGTTCTTTTTTTTTTTTTTTTTAGACGGAGTCTAGCTCTGTTGCCAGGCTGGAGTGCAGTGACCTGTGACGTGATCTTGGCTTGCTGCAACCTCCGCCTCCCCGGTTCAAGCGATTCTCCTGCCTCAGCCTCTCGAGTAGCTGAGACTACAGGCATGTGCCACCACGCCCAGCTAATTTTTATATTTTTAGTAGAGACGGGGTTTCACCACGTTGGCCAGGATTGTCTCAATCTCTTGACCTCGTGATCCACCTGCCTCGGCTTCCCAAAGTGCTGGGATTACAGGCCTGAGCTACCATGCCGGGCCTTTTGTGTTCTTTAAATGCTTTATTTCTCTTGTGGTATTTGGTCTTTCTAGTCTTTCTATTTTTACTGGGGTACATTTTTATAAGTCATGATTAGTTTCATAAATTTGTAATATTTTTCTGGCCTTTTGATTATTTATCTTATCATTTCTAAGTTTGTATATTTATACTCCCATTTTTGTAAAACCTGGGTTAGAGTTAGCTAGCGGTTTAAACATTTTGTTGTTGTTGTTTTTTTTTCAAAGAGCCAGATTTTACCTTTATTCATTACTTCTACTGGTTTTCTGTTTTATGTTTCATTGATTTCTACTTTGATCTGCATTGATTCTTTCCTTTGGCTTACTGTCTTATTCTTTTTCTAAATTCTTGAGTATTTAGCTTATTTATTTTATTCTTTAATTTTTATTCATATGGATATTAAATACTATTAGACTTCCTCTGGTAACTGCTTTAGCTATATTTCATAGATTCTGACTTGTATTGTGGTCACATTAGTAATTTTTCCAGAAAGTCTATAGTTTGTTTTTTTATCTTTTCTTGGAACCAGGAATTATTTAATAGCATTAAAAATTCATCAGTAGAAGGATCTTTCCTTTAAATTAAATTTTCACCTTTAATGTATTATGGTCAGAGAGTACTGTTTCTATTTTTTCTCTTCCTTGAAATTTATTGAGGATGTTTTATAGCCTAAGATTATCAGTTCTCCTGACATTTCTCCATGCCCACTATATTTACAGATTAAATTTACAGACTTGACTCATTCTTTTTTCTTTTAGCTGATTTTGATTATTAAGTTATTGTTTTTCTTTTCGTTCTTTCTTTTTTTTTGGTCTTGCTCTGTTGTTTACTGCCCAAGCAGGAGCACAGTGGCACAATCACAGCTCACTGCAGCCTTGATCTCCTGGGCTCAGTCAATCTCCCTACCTCGGCCATCCAAGTAGCTGGTACTACAGGCATGCACCACCATGCCTGGCTAATTTTTAAATTCTCTGTAGAAACGAGGTCTTGCCCTGTTGCCCAGACTGGTCTTGAACACTTGGGCTCAAGTGATCCTTCTGTCTGAGCCTCCTAAAGTGCTGGAATTACAGGAGTGAGCCATTGCACCTGGCCTTGTTTACCATTTTCATTTGTTTAGTGGATCTGTCTTTTTGACATAACTTCATGGTCTGTAGCAGAGGTTGGCAAAAGACAGCCAACAAGCCAGATCCAGCCCATCACCTGTTTTTGTAAACAAAGTTTTATTGGAACATAGCCATTTATTCATTTACTTATTGTCTATGGTGAATTTTACTCTACATTGGCAGAATTGAGTAGTTGTGTCAGAGACCACATGGCACACAAAGCCAAAAACTTTTTCTATATACCTAAAATATTTACTGTCTATTCTAGGCTCATAAAGCCTAAAAATATTCACTATCTTTACAGAAAGAGTTTGCCAATCCTTGTTCTATAGGCACATTATTTTGCACCATATTTTCTTTTATCTTATGACTTTGTGTAGGATTTGACTGTGGTCATTTTCTGTTGCTCATGTTATTTGTTAGGTGCCTAGCACTGTCCAGTAAAACACCCTGCAATGATGGAAAGGTTCTGTACCACATAATACAGTAGCCTTCAACCACAGGCTGGTAAGAAATTGAAACGTGGCTAGTGCAGCCGAAAAATTAAATATTAATTTAATTAAATTTTAATGAAATTTAATTAATAAAACCTTAACCTAATTTCTTTTAGTTTAATTAGAATTAATATAGCCACATGTGGCTAATGACTACTGAACGGGGAATCATATTACTATATGGTCAGGGAAGTCTGTCTAGCTTCCAAGCTCTGAAGCACCCTATTCTTTTGTTTTTGGAAAATGGGATGTTTTGGTGTGGAAGCTGCTTCACATTTTTTACAGTGTGCTGAGTTTCCCCTCCCCTCCTTCTATTTTACTTAGATTGTTGCATTTCTTTGCTCCCATTGTACCTGTTTGGAGCAATTTGGATTCTATTCTCAGTGGTCTGTCCTCAGTCCTGAGCTCCTTCCTACAAGAATATTTGGTTAGTTAGTTTCAATGGTTTACAGGTTCCAGATCACACTGGTATTATCTGAGCTTTCATGGGCTGTTCGTATTGACCCATAAATCTGAGTCTGCAAAGCATTCTCTCAGTTTCAACCACTGTCCACAAATGACCAGTCAAGCTTTTCAGCGAGTGATTATTGGCAATTTGGGGGGGTCCTTGGGCTCTCAGCGCCATTGGAAGTTCTTTATATTCCCTTCACATTCTCCCACATAGCCTTTAATACAACACAATTCTTGTTATGATATATATATATACTCTGCTTATATTCTGGGGTTCATGGAAATAGATTGTATATTATTTCTGTGGGATTTTAGTTTATTCGTCTTTGCTGTATCTATTTTTTGGGGGGATTTAATGAGAATATATAAGTGTACCATCTTACCCCAATTCCCTATTATTTTCATATGTGATGCCTCTATCCACCTCCCCACAGGAGAGTTACTGACCTAGTCCCACCACTTTAATTTACAAGAGGAGGAAATTGTAATATAAGAACTAAAAATAAAATTCATATTACCAGACTTTCAGTCTAGTATTTTTCTCTTTCACCCTACAGATAGAAGATTGTGTAGGCAGACCGTCTGACAGTCCATCTCGCAATATGGTCCAGTAATTGTTTCTCTGTTCTGATAACTCCTCCCCCCATGCATCCCCCATCCCTGTTCTCTTCCCGAATTGGTGCTACCTCCTATTTGGGAAATACTTTTGCTTTTAAGAGTCTCATGGTGACAGAGTAGAGATAAGGAAGAAGAGGCAGTAACATTACTACCCAGGGCCAGTTTTGGGCTTGAGGATCATAGGGAAAAGATGGTTTAAGAATTTATTGGAAGAAGACTACAAATAGGGTTCAGTGTATACTGCTCGGGTGACGGTTGCACCAAAATCTCACAAATCACCACGAAAGAACTTACTCATGCAACCAAACACCATCTGTTCCCCAATAACTTTTATGGAAATTAAAAATAAATTTTAAAAGTGTTTATGGGAAGATTCTGATCTTTCCCCCTTACTAACCACATAAATCCTGGAAAAATAACTAATTCCCTCTTGTTTTTGGTGTGGAAAATGAGAAACTGGATATAATAGGGTCTAGGATAGTACTTGGCTCATACATGTTGTTTGATACCTGTTAACCCTCTCTTTCTTTTAATTTTCTGTAGTTCCTCCAGCATAAAAACAAGACAAAGTTTCTGCAGAGCTGCTCTAACCCAATAATAAAATTGGACAATAAGCTGCATATCTGCCGGAAACCTGGGACTGGCAATGGAGATGAGAAGAGAATCAGAAGGGTAAGGACCCCATATCTCCTTTTTCTCTAAAGTTTCTAAATTCACCCATTTGAATCAGGGGCTCTCGCTGGATCTATTCATTTTATTTTATTTTATTTTATTTGAGATGGAGTCTCACTCTGTCGCCCAGGCTGGAGTGCAGTGGCATGATCTTGGCTCACTGCAACCTCTGCCTCCCGGGTTCAAGCGATTCTCCTGCCTCATCCTCCCGAGTAGCTGGGATTACAGGCATGAGCCACTATGCCTGGCTAATTTTTGTACTTTTAGTAGAGACGGGGCTTCATCATGTTGGCCAGGCTGGTCTCTAATTCCTGATCTCAGGTGATCTGCCCTCCTTGGCCTCCCAAAGTGCTGAGATTACAGGTATGAGCCACCGTGCCCAGCCTGGATCTGTTCTAATTGCACAAGTGACAAAGTCCTATTGGCTCCCAGGCTTGGTTACCTGAACATCCCAGTTACTGGTCTCAGGGCCTTCAAAGCTTCCTGGATATCAGGAGCCAATATCATCACTGGTTCCTGGAGTATAACCAAGTCCCTGAAAACTAATATTTTTGGAAAAGAAAAATAGAGATAAGAGGAAAACCATCGTCATACACAAGAGAATGCAATACAGCATGAATGCAGAAAATCCTGTCCATGTCAAATTTTTTTCTTTCAAGTATAATCTCAATTATTCCTGCAGCATACACAACAAATTGATGTGTGTCTCTGTGCTGGCAGATGCTCCAATTGGAGCTATGCATCCAACTTGGAGAATTAGCCATCACTATGACAACAAGCCTCTTTATTTTTTTTCTGAATGAATGTTATAATTATCTACCATATGAAGTAAGATGCCGCTACTGACATTGTCGTTAGATCCTCTAGCCCTAGCTGTTTAAGATTTCTTGGTGGCAGAAAGCACCAGTTGGAGCCTTGGCCAAGTAGATAGCTCCAGATCAGGGCAGGCAATTCAAGGCTGAGAGTACATATGGGCAGCTTCTCATTAAGGGAACCTAGATCTAATTAGATGCTGTCCCACTCCCACACACAGGAGAGAAATCATGCTCTGCAGAAGGATGTTTATTGAGAGGTGGTTGAGTTAGGAAAATATAATTGGTTTATTTCTCCAGGCAAAGGAACCATCAAAAGTCAGGCATTACACATTTCTATAGGCCGAGTTTGGTATCAGGGTGAGGATGTTGGTTTACTTGATCTTTAGGCTACTCTAAAAAAGCAAAGGTAGAATTGAGAAACTGACTTCCTGCACTGCCTTCAATGTGCCATGCATTCTGTTAAGCACTGTCACAAATGCACTCCCCATTAAAACCTCACTAGTAATTTAAGGTAAGGCAAAAGAAGCCTGTGATGGAGACTAAGAAGTAGGTATTATTTACCTCCACTTTAAAGATGATGAAATTATGGCTCAGTGAAGACCAGAAATGCTTCTTAGCTGACAAAAACTTCGAAATCCATGTTGAATGCCAAAAAGGGGTGGAGAGAAATAAATAGAAATAATTACTATTTCCCTGATTCCTGTAAGTTCCACGGTTCTACCACCCAACTACTGCTCAGCCCGTGGGCCACACAGCACTGTTGACAGTGAATTAGAGTATCAAAATCCAGGAGGGGAGGAACCAGAGAGGTCAGCCTACTGCAGTGATAAGATCACCCCTAAATCCACAGCAGTGGTAATGCTGACAAGACTAGGGGTCCTGTGGTCCTACTCCTCATTTCACAGATGAGAAAAGAACTCTATTGGTTGTGTTGCAAGAGTCACCTGCCCAGTTCACAGAACAAGTAATTAGCAGAGAGGGAAAACAGACCTCCAAAGCCAGGATGCTTTTCTCTCCATCACACAGCCTCCTGGGAGTGTTGTATTAGGATTTTTCATATAAAGTCTCTACTGTAAAGAATGGTTGACTGGAATCCCTCTGAGTAGACATTCAGATAATGTTTTATGTGAGAAATATTTATTCAGAGTTTTCTTTTTTAGCCAATCCTAGCAACACCAGCTAGATAGCCACTTAAGCCACCTATACATACTAATCTGTCTCTTGACTGTGAAAACATTAACATTCTGTATACTAATCAGGAGTCAAAATCATGATCAGCATTCATTAGTACTTTTTTCCAGTTCAATGCACTGAAGAAAGACATTGTACTGTTACATCAGTTTACCTGGTTGATTCTTAGGATCTGTCAAATGCTTGCAGATAAAGACTTAATCATATAAGAATTGTAATTTGGCTCTTCTCAGAATTACATTCCATTTTGATAGACATCATAGATATGTACTGGAAATAAATGTTCTGTTTTCATAGTGTTAGATTATTTTGCTTCTTTCTTTTTCTACTGCTTTTTACTGGGGAAATATATAGCAAAGACATTCAGTTATTTTCCCTTAAATAAACCTGATAAAGATCAGTTTGGACAGAGTTTTCTTGGACAGGTACTTTCTTCAACTGGAAAGAGAAGCTGGGCTTGAACACCATTTCTGATGTTGATTTGACCCTGAGAAAGCTATGTAATATTTCTTAGCCTTAGTTTCTTGACCTTTTAGTTGAGGATAATAAAACATGCTTTATTTAGGGAGGGATGGGCTGATAAGTTTAAATGAGATCACATTTACAAAAGGGCATTATAATATGTGAGATACATAGTAAGTGATCAATGGCTGCTTAATGTTACTAAATGTGCTAAGTGATCAATATGTGCCAGGCACTGTGATAGGTGTGGTGGGGTTATAAGAATTAATAATGACATTAAGTTAATACTTAATGGCCATTATTTATTCCACAAATCTCTGTGAGCACCAACAATGTATCAGATACCATGCTAGGTGATGGAAAGCTCCTGCCCTCAAGTTGTTCACAGTTTTATTTGTGGAAGCAGAAGTAAATATAGTGCAATTAGCACCACCTGAATCAGTGCAACACAAGCTGAAGAACAGAGTAGGAGCACTTAATCAAGGCTAGGGAGATCAGGAAAGGCTTTACTGGGGAGGTGATGACACATTCAATAGATGAAGAAGGATAACGCTTCAAGAAGGCAGAACAATTTCTGCAAATCCTGGAAGCAAAAGAGAACATGGAACATTCAGAAATTTTCATCGTTTAATGGTCACAGTAAAAGTTGGAGGCAACAAATGATGAGAGATGAGGTTGCAGCAATAAAAAAAAAAAGAGCTGATTAAAGATCTTAAAAAGCTTCAACTTTACTTTAAAGAGAATGAAGAGACATTACTCAGATGAGTGATGTCATCAGATTTGAACCAAGGAGGTCACTATGGCATCACTGGACAATGAGTTGAGTGGATGTGGGAGGACCAGGAGGCACTGTTGAGCTACAGCTAAAAAATGGGAGGGAATTAGCTAAGGTGGCTGGTAAGAAAAAGGAGAGAAATTGACAGACTCAAGAGAAGTTTGAAAACCGTTAGTCACACAGTGGAATTGGAAGAGTCAAGCTGAGTCTCAGGTTTCAGTGTGATATAGCAGGTGCATTTTTGTGCCACTCACCTAGAAGAGGACCCAGGAAGAGAAAAGTTGGATGAAATGGGAGGTAGGAAAGAGGGTACAAGATCCAGGGATGCTAGGCTCTGAATCTGGAAACAGCCGTCATAGCTGAAAGTCTGTTTCTATAGAGAATAGGTCTAAAAGAGGACCATGTGTGGATCCCATGCGCACTGCCTAAAGCAGGGATCACCTGCCTATGGGATAGGGTAAAACAAGATGACACTGAGTGTGGCCTCCAGAGGGTTCTGTGTATCTGCAGGAGTAGGAAGCCAGGAACACTCAGATACAGGTTTACATCCTGGAAATTAACCAACCTGACCTCAGGATAAGTGGCCAGGTCTGCAACATATGTTGTACCTGTTGGTAGAAGTAACATGGAACCACCAACATAAAACATGGATTGCTGGGTCTGATAGAGGAAACTACACAATCATAGAAAGAGAGAAATAATCCAGATTAAAGGTGTGATTTTTCCCTTAAGGACTTGTACGTAGTCAGGTTCTGTTGGTGACACATTCTTTCAGCTTTCATTGTTTCAGAAGGTTTCATTTCTGGGTGTAGAAATGGACATTGACTTCTCCATCCCACTCCACTGCCTTCTGGCTTATGTCATCTTCAACAAGAAATCTGCTGTAATTTTTATCCTTGCTCCTTTCTGTATAATGTCCCTGTATTCTCTGGTTGCTAATATTTTTAAATTTTTATGTGCTTTTCACCAATTTGATTATGATTTGCGTGTGTGCGTGTGTGTGTGCGTGTGTGTTTAATAGTCTGCCTGGGGTTCACTGAAACACGTAATCCGTAAACTTATAGTTTTAACCAAATTTGAGGGGAAAACCTTTAGCTGTTCTTTCTTCAGATCTTTTTATGTGTCATTCATCTTTCTCTTCTTTTTCTGTAACTCCAATTTACTTATCTTAGAAAACTTTATATTATCCTACACTCACAGAAGCTTTGTCCACTTGTTTCAGTCTTTATTTTTCTATATGTGCTTCATTTTGGATGGTTTCTATTGCTATGTTTTTAAGTTTACTGTTTTTTTCCTGTGGTGTCTAAATGGTTCTGAATCTCATCTAGCGTATTTTTCATTTTTGATATATTTTTCATCTTAAAAGTTTCATTTAGATATTTTAAAAATATCTTGTATTTTATCATGTTTATGTTTTATTATATATCTTTTTGAATATTTATAATAGCTATTTCAAGTTCCTTGTCTGCTATTACCTTTATTAATGTCATTTCTGAGTCTTTTTCTATTGATTTATTTCTCTCCTTATTATGGGTTATATTTTCATGTTTCTTTTTTGCATGCTGGGAAATTTTTTATTGGATGTCAGGTCTCATGTATTTGTTGGTTTTGTGATTTAGTTGTATTTCTTTAAAGAGTGTTGGTCTTTGTTATGGCACACAGTTAAATTACTTGCAGATTGGTTCGATTATTCTGAATCCTTCTTTTAAGCTTTGTTACAATGGGTACAGATCAGCATTTACTCTGGCATTAATTTAGCCTTACTACTACAGCATGTCCTTTCAAAGGCTCTACCAATACCTCATGTCCAGCCTTAGGAGTTTCACCCAACGTATGCGCAGGTTAATGTTCAGGATTTGAGGGGATCCTCCTGTAGCTCTCAAGTGCTTTCTGTTTCTCTCTGTGCCTTCCTTATCTCTGGTCCTCTGCTCCACCACACATTCCTAACGTGAGTGATACCTGGGGAGCGCTGAGGGTGGAGGGCATGAGAAAATAAGGAAAGGAAGCTGTGTTCCATGCCTGGGGCAATCCGAAGCTGAGCCAGGACATCTTGTGTACAATGACAAGACAAACTACAAACTATGCTAACTTATCTGAATTTATCTTGAGTAGATTCAGAGGCATAGGCAACTAAAGATAGCAGAAATCATCATCCTTCCTCCTCCCATAACCGGTGAATAAGGTGGAATGTATCAGTCTCACTGCATGTAGTGTGGGACAGGAGTCTCTTCATTTGAATATCAAAAACTAGAGACTCTAAGCTGACATTTGGGTCACAGGGAGGAACCAGGGGACAGGAAGAGATTGGTGAGATGGGAAAAGAAAAATAAGGACCTAGAAAAGGAAATAAAATTCATGTCTGGAAGGGAATTATTGAATTAGCCTCATGAAGAATATTATTTCAAAAATGAGCCTTAAGAAGATAGAAAATATAATTAAGGAAAGATTGATGGGAAAGTTTCCTGGGTTAAGGAAGCAGCTTGAGAAAATTCACAGAAGGACATCTAAGGTAGAGTCGGAGAACAGAGACAGGTGAGTTCACCTTATTTGTTAGGTATAATGAAAATATTGAAATATAAGTCCTGAAAAAGAGTTTTGGACAGTACTATGAATGCCTTGATTTGGCAACATGAGTAGGTTATACTTGATTCATAGGAAATGGAGAATCTTTAAAGGATTTCAAGTGAGCATTGTTGCTTCCAAAGAAATTAACTTCCCCTAATGGGGAATAAAAGAGGAGGAAAATAGTCTTTTAGTCAAATGGCCATTTATTCACCAAACCATAAGGACTCTTTGCTACCTAGAAACTGTATACTTGGTCTTAATAAAATGGATCTTAATAATAATAATACTTATTCTCCTATAGCAATTTACTTTGCAGATTGCCTTTGGAGCGAAATCTCATTTGATTTTTGCAAAAAAAAAAATTATTGGACTGAGATTCCCAATTTCCTATTGAAGATGAGAAAACTGAGGCTCAAAGAAAATTAAGAGATGTCTAACTCCAGACATCTGCTTAGATATTGTTAGCCCTAAAATCAGAACCAGCTTATGACTGCCCCATACAACTCATTTTATTTCTTTAGCTCAGAAGAATGGAAAGGAAAATAGTATGTTGAGTTTTTAAAGATGTTAGGACTTTTATTTCTAGCATAAGGCATAAAACAAAGGCTTATTTCAACTCCAGAAGATGGTACTAACACCTGGGAGGAGTTATTTATTGAGAAGACATTTCTTTATATTCATAGCCTAAGCCCCACTACTTACGTTCCCATGCAATGAGAGTTTGATGACAAGACATTGATTTAAGGAAGTGTGATGTGACTCCTCCACCCTGTGTCACTCCTTGTCCACCTGAAAAGTACCATAATAAATCGTATCAAAAGAAACCTTTTCTTTTGTGGTGCTTAAAGAAAAGGAGAGGAAACTGAATGTATCAGGCTTGGTGCTCAGTAAGACAGAAATAACTCTTGACTTAGTCAATTTTCTCTAAGGCGTATAGCAATCTATGGTTGCCCAGCTGAGGGCCAAGATTTTAAATAAAATTCTCACATTTGGACTGCCCACCAGTCTGAATATGTATCTATGTCTACACCCAGAAGACTTGTAAACTCAGGATTTTATAAAGGCAAAAGATAATTTGATCAAGATTGACCAAACTAAGTCAAAGAAATACAAAACTATTTCCTTTTTCTCTATGGTTGACCGAAATGTAAATCTGAATACAAAGAGGTTCTGGCATTCATTTCTGATTGCCTCATCACCAAGAAATGGGTAATAGTGTGGCTAAGAGAAGTTAGTTTGTCCCGATGCTGCTACCTCTAGAATAATTCATGCTGTAATAATCCTTTTGGTGTTCCCTGGACTGTCCTCTGCCACACATGGGGCAATAAAATGATCAAGTTCTGGCTGGGCGCGGTGGCTCACGCCTGTAATCCCAGCACTTTGGGAGGCCGAGGCGGGTGGATCACGAGGTCAGAAGATCGAGACCATCCTGGCGAACATGGTGAAACCCCGTCTCTACTAAAATATAAAAAAAATTAGCCGGGCGTGGTGGTGGGTGCCTGTAGTCCCAGCTATTCAGGAGGCTGAGGCAGGAGAATGGTGTGAACCCGGGAGGTGGAGGTTCAGTGAGCTGAGATTGCGCCACTGCACTCCAGCCTGGGCGACAGAGCGAGACTCCGTCTCAAAAGAAAAAAAAAAAAAAAGATCAAGTTCTTCATAACAGGGAGGTTCGTTTCAGTTAGCAGAAATAGTCCTAAGTTTTGCTTATAGATTTGTTCAAGTGTTTTGTTTAGGAAGCTTTGATTCCGTCTAATATTTTAAAATAAAATCCATGACAATAATTAGTTTTTATGTGGGAATGACGTCACAATGGTGGTTTCTGAGAACAATGGCTCAGTGCCCCTGTGTCCTGACAGCATCCATGCCTGTGTGCTGGGCCCTATGCCCATGAGCTCTGCCCAGTTGCTGCTTGAAGAGAAAGGGGTTGTACCCCTCATAATTTTAGCAGAAAAAAAATTTTTTTGATTATGCTTGAGCTGAATATCTTTTCTTCATTTGGCAGCACTGTGTTCTATAATACACAGCTTCTGCGTCACCAGGAAATCCTCCGTGGTTACGGCAGTTTGGGGCATGTGCAGTCTCATGTGGCCCATAGTGTCACAGTACCTCATTTAACCTGCACAGTTCCCATTTCCGCAGAGATAAAAATTGAACCCGAGAGGTATCAATGACAGGGATATGTTCTGGGAAATGTGTCATTAGGTCAGCAGTCCCCAACCTTTGTGGCACCAGGTACCGATTTCATGGAAGACAATTTTTCCATGGATGAGTGGTCTGGGTGGTGCGGGTGGTGGGGGGATGGTTTCGGGATGAAACTGTTCCATCTCAGGTCATCAGGCGTTAAATTCTCGTAAGGAGCCGCAACCTAGATCCTTCATGTGTGCAGTTCACAATAGGGGTAGGCGTTGAGCTCCTGTGATTATCTAATGCCGCCCCGATCTGACAGGAGGCAGAGCTCAGGTGGTAATGCTCGCTCACCTGCTGCTCCCCTCCTGGTGTACAGCCTGGTTCCTAACAGGCCACAGACCCATACCTGTCCGTGGCCCGGGGGTTGGGGACCCCTGCATTAGGCGAGTGCATTGTTGTGCAAATATTATGATGTCCTTACACAAACCTAGATGGTATAGCCTACCACATACCGAGGCTCTATGGTACAGCTTATTGCTCCTACAAACCTACAACCCTGTACAGCATGTTACTGTGCTGAATACTGCAGGCAATTGTAGCCCAATCGAAAGTATTTGTGTATCTAAACACATCTAAACATAGAAAAGGTATAGTAAAAATACAATATAAAAGATAAAAACTGCTGCACCTGTACAGGGCGCTTACTATGTATGGAGCTTGCAGGACTGGAAGTTGCTCTGGGCGAGTCAGTGAGTGAATGGTGAGTGAATGTGAAGGTCTAGGCCATTGCTGCACACTACTGTAGACTTTATAAACACTGCACACTTAGGCTACATTACATTTATTTAAAATTTTTAATTTCTTCAATAATAAATTAACTTTAGCTTATTGTAAATTTTTAACTTTCTAAAGCTTTTAACTTTTATTAACTTTTTAACTCTTCTAAAAACAGTTTAAAACACAGCCACATTGAAGAGCTGCATGAAAATATTTTTATGTCCTTTTTATATGAGCTTCTTTCTATTTATTATTTTCTATTTTTGTTTAACTCTTTAAATTTTTTTTGTTAGAAGCTAAGGCACAGATACACATATTAGCCTAGTCCTACACAGGGTCAGGATCATCAGTGTCTATCTTCCACCTCCACATCTTGTCCCGCTGGAAGGTCTTCAGGAGCAACAGCAGGCATGGAGTTGCCATCTCCGTCCATAACAACCCTTCCTCAAATACCTCCGGCAGGACCTGCCTGGGTCTCTTTTACAGTGAAATTTTAAAAAGTATATAAGTAGAAGGAGACACACTCTAAAATAATGATAAAAATATGGTATAGTAACTATATGAACCAATAACATAATTGTTTATTATCATGATTGAGTACCATGTACTGTACATAATTGTATGTGCTATACTTTTATATGACTGGCAGTGCAGTAAGTTTGTTTACACCAGTATCACCACAAACATGTGAGTAATGAGTTGTGCTATGACATTACAACAGCTGTGACTTCACTGGGTGATAGAAATTTTCAGCTTCATTAAAATCTTATGAGACCGACATTGTACTGTGGTCTGTTGTTGACTGAAACATTATTATGCGACACATGCTTGTATTTATAAAATGAAAATAACATTTGTCCCAGAGAGTTATTATACAAATGATACAATGAATGGAATAAAAGAGTATAAATTGTAACACACCATACATGTAAGAGAGCGTTCTAATATTTCAATGGTATTACTACAACTACCACTAATATTACTATTATCACCGCTATCCCAACCAGGGTTTTGGATGATGTATTTTTTCTACTTATGTGTAAGCAAATAACAAAAACAGAGGTTAACTATAAAGGGATAAGTGGTTTTTAGAGGAGAAATAGAGCTAGAAGGTAGACTTCTTTGAATATATTTTATTTGTAGACTTGATCTTGGAGAGGTACAAATATATTGTACAATTTTAAAATATAATTTAAACAAAATAACTATATCTATAAATCGGAAACAACAAAGTAAATAAATCTACTCTGTATCTACCGATGACATAAATGTATAGAGAGAAACTATTACAGGAAACGTTAAAACACATAAATTTGAATGTGCATCTCTAAAGAGGATATAATCTAAGAAAAAAAGTAATTGTAAAAAATGTTTCAGGCCGACTCTGGGCCCACTGCCTACGAGTTAGCCCTGGTCTGCAAGGAGCAGGGGGAAAAATGTTTCTAACTGCTTCCAGTAATCATATTGGTGATGGTATTTTGATTCTAACAGTGCTTTGTTTGTAATGTGAGATGAAGCAAATGAGTAATTATGTGAAATCTAATACTATCATCCCTTGTGCCCTTGAGAAGTAAAATTTTCTTTAGGGAGAAAGGAGATATAGATGTAAGTTTGAGAAGTTAAGCAAAATATCAGTAGTACTAAATCATAACTGGAATTATTGCAATGAATTCGTGAGATATTTTATTTTTTGAAGAACCATATTTTTTTGAAGAACCATCTTTTTTGAAGATCCACTAAAAAAGCCTACAAACAATGACCAAACCAGTAATAATAACCATCTCTATTTCTCAGATGTTATTTTTATATCCAGGGCAGAAAATACAAACATAAGCCTGGTATAGCTTGCCATACTAGATAACAAGGAAGATATCAAAACCTACTAAGATTGTTTCAAGTGACTTACATGCCAGTGTCAATAGACCCCCATTGACCACAAATTGGGCAATCTGAGCATCAGTAAGGATACTAACTGCAATGGATTAAAACATATAAAATATGCTTAAATTCATGCATTCATAGTACTATGAAAAAGGAAAATAGTTTTTTACTATCAGAGAATGCTAGGGACTGCATTCATTATTTTGAAAATGGATCAAGGGAAAGATTCAAACATTTATTTTGCCTTTACTAAATAAACTGTATCACTAGGTAACCAAGAAAAAGAAGAAAGTTCCATTTTATGCAACTTTCCAGCTAATAGTTGAAGAAGAAATTATAGAATATTACCATTTTGCAACTGCAAATGAATTAACTGATAATCAGCGTTGCTCACATCACAGAATGAAGGACAAACAGAATTATGTGTCTCCTGATAGAATGCAATTCCACCTATGACGTAGTCTTGCCCCAAGGAGAAAGGGGAGGAGGAAGAGGGATCCAAATCTGATAAAGGGTCTAGATCCAACTGCCAATTTATACAAATACAGAGGACAAAATAATATGTTAAACTATGTCACAGGAATTTGACCAGCAAAATCCAGGCTATGCAAAACTGTATAGAAAAAGCAACTTGCTTTCTTCAACAAATAAGTGGCAAGAACACAAAAAGAGAAATAGTGAATAAAGCTATAAAGTTAAAAAGTTAAAAAAGACTTGAAAGACATATAAATCAACACACTGTGTAGACTAAGACTTATGACATTTTGAGACAATTGGATATTGGTACTCTGGCTGGATATATAATGACATTAAAGAATTATTATTAATGTGTTTGGTCTGATAATGATACTGTGGTAATGTTTAAGACACAAAATTCACCTAGCACTGAGATCTTGGTTTCTAAATATTTACCACTGAAAGGAATCAGAAATCCTTGGAGAAATGTCTGAAACCAGGACTAGGCAGCAAAGGCATCTCATCCTAGAGAATAAGAAAGTGCTCAGAAGGAGAGAGCTCTATCACCGTGACACAAGAGCCAGTTTGATGGGACATCTGTTGGCCAAACTGGGAATTTGAGCGTCACAATTAAAAATGGTAAGAATTGATGACATATTCAGTAAAAAGGAATCCATGAGTCCATAAAAATACACAAAGCAACAAAGAAAGAAACAAATCAAAGGAGGAAGAAAGAAAACTTCTTTATAGTAGGATGCCAGGCAATAAATGGATAAGAAATAGAAGAATTGGAAAATCACTGTTTTGCAATCATGATGCTAATAATTGATTCAAGCAAGAATCATCACTTAATCAATTTACTATGGAAATTTACAATGGAAAAATTTTATTAGGATAAAGATATTAGTAACTTTCAAAGTAATTATTCACATATTACCTATTAATTACAAAGAGGAAAAGTGGACCTTTACAGTGGAGAAATCTGACAGATAGCTGCCATTACCAAGTGATCAAAGCCAACATCACCAATAATGGGATAAACTGATATTAGTTGTATCCTGAGGTGATGTCTTCAGAAGTGCAAGACATCACTTATCTGCTATTCTTACTAAAACTACCTAATGATATCAAATCACGAGGTAACAATCAGACCAGCACAAATTGAAATACATTCTACAATACACAAGCCATACTTTTAAAAATGTTAATGCCATGGAATACTATGCAGCCATAAAAAAGGATGAATTCATGTCCTTTGCAGGGACATGGACGAAGCTGGAAACCATCGTTCTCAGCAAACTATCACAAGGACAAAAAACCAAACACCGCATGTTCTCACTCATAGGTGGGAATTGAACTCATAGGTGGGAATTAAGTGATGACACAGGGTGAGGAACATCACACACCCGGGCCTGTCGTGGGGTGGGGGGATGGGGGAGGGATAGCATTAGGAGAAATACCTAATGTAAATGACAAGTTGATGGGTGCAGCACACCAACATGGCACATGTATACCTATGTAACAAACCTACACGGGGTGCACTTGTACCCTAGTACTTAATGTGTAATAAAAAGATGTTAATGCCATGAACAAAGAACAAGAGAGGAACTTCCAAATTAGTGGCAATTAAAGAGACATGACTATTGAATGCGTGTGAGATTCTGAATTGAAACCTGGCTTGGGAAAAAAATGTTAAGTCAGTAAAATTTGAATATAAACTATGTACCCCATATTTATATGGCATTAATGTGAAATGTTCTGATTTTGAAAATGATGCAGGCTTTGTTGTTTAAAAATACATGTTGACGTGTTTAGGCATGGCTGGATGGAGGGCAGGAAGGTGAACAAATATGGCAAAATGTTAACAATAGTTGAATGAGTCAGTCAGATTAAAGGTTACATGAGAGTTTGTATAATAAAATTCTTACAAGTTTTCTGTAGCCCTTACATTTTTTGAATTAAGAATTTTTTTTAAAATTATACTTTAAGTTCTAGGGTACATGTGCACAACGTGCAGGTTTGTTACATATGTATACATGTGCCATGTTGGTGCGCTGCACCCATCAACTCATCATTTACATTAGGTATATCTCCTAATGCTTTCTCTCCCCTCTTCCCCCAACCCCACAACAGGCCCCGGTGTGCGTTCTCAGCAAACTATCGCAAGAACAAAAAACCAAACATCACATGTTCTCACTCACAGGTGGGAATTGAACGATGAGAACACCTGGACTCGGGAAGAAATTTTTTAATTAAAAAATTTGGTTGAACGTTTTTCTTGTTAAATGATGTTTAAAAAATGAAAACAAAGTTCTTGGCTTAGTAAAATAAATAAATAAATAAATAAATAAGCACAGATCAGAGAAATAGAGGAAAATGTATGTAATGAAAACATCCTGAATCTTGACTGTGGCAATAGTCTCACTGGTGTATACATACGTATGTCAAAATTCATCCAATTTACATTTTGAGAGGGTTCAATTTATTGTACAGTAATTATACCTCAATAAATTATTTTTAAAAGTGCACAAATCTTGAATAGTAAAACAGTTTCTTTCTGAACACAACTATGAGGAAAGAACAAACATTGTTGACTTCATATTAATTTATGGATAATTTTTATTTTAAAATGCTTTCTCAAGAATTAGACTACAAGTCAATTGAAAATGCTACATCATGAGCCCATTCCATATATATTGTTGTGGTCAGTTCATCACAAACATAATTTATAAAAAATTATTTTGCAGTTTTTTCTCTATCTGAAGATAAACTAATTTATTAGCAAGAACTTTGAAAAAATAAGTCAAAATAGAACATATTATAAATGGTTTCACTTAAATACCAAGAAATAACTTTCTAAAGTATTAAGTATCAAAAAATAACGGCAATAACTGAGCCTATATTACGGTCAAGCAGGTGCTTTCCAAGCCTGTCAGCACAGGATGAATGGAGCGGTGAAGCTCTCTATGTGCAGACTCCTGCAGGAACATGGAATGCTGGAAATTTAGAGAACAAACAAAATGCCTAATAATAGGGGACTAGGGGAATAAATCTCACATATCCACAAAATAAAATAGTATACAAGCATCGTATATGATGTAGGGATGTGTGTACTTACATTAAGGGAAAAATATAATGTACTATATAGAGTATAAGCTCATTTTGATTAATACACAAGAAAAATGTCTAGATTAGTTAATGACTACAAAAATACACTTAGATAACGGGAATAAGTTCTAGTGTTTAATAGCATAGTAAGGTGACTACAATTATCAACAATTTATTGCATATTTCAAAATGTGGAATGTTCAGCTGGGGACAGTGCTGTAGTGAGGTAGTCTTCACGGAGGAAGTGACCTGATGAGAAGATTTGGAATGCTCTCAACACAAAGAGATGATAAATGTTTGCAGTGATGGGTAACCCATTTACCGTGATTTGATCATTGGACATTGTATGCATGCATAAAAATATCACATGTATTCCATAAATATGTACAACTATTATATATGAATTTAAAATGCCTAGAATATTATATGACAAAATAAAAACAACAATGCTCTCTAGGTAATAGGAATAGGGTTGTTATCAGATTCTTCTTTTTGTTTATTTGTATATTCTGATTTGTCCATAGTGATCATGTGTTACTTATATAATCAAAATAGCAATATAAGAGTTTAAATTGTTCTCATATAAACTACATTACCAAAAAGAGTGATTTAAAAAGTATCTGTTAGAGACACACATTGGAATATTAATAAGGAAAATAATCTGATGGCTGGAGTTGATTTAAAATAACATGGAAGAGAGATTGAGGTTGCAGTGAGCCAAGATTATGCCACTGCACTCCAGCTTGCACAACAGAGCAAGGCCCTGTTTCAAATAATAATGATAATAATAATACTAAATGACATGGAAGGGGAAGAGGTGAAATCGGGGTATAGAGAAAATAAAACTAGTCATGAGTTGATAGTTGTTGAATCTGAATAGTGGGTACATGATGAATGCTTATTACACTCTTCTGTTTTCTTTTGTATATGTTTAATATTCTCTATAATGAAAGGTTTTAAAAGTAAGCTGACTGAATACAGAATTTTCTTAAAGCAATCAATATTTACAACATCAAAACCAAGAAAATTCTGAGCTGTCACTACTTGGGGACATTTCTGCACAGGAGCCCATTTCTTTCTTTTTTTTTTTTTTTTCTTTTGAGGTGGAGTCTTGCTCTGTCACCCAGGCTGGAGTGCAGTGGCGTGATCTCGGCTCACTGCAACCTCCACCTCCCGGGTTCAAGTGATTCTCCTGCTTCAGCCTCCCGAGCAGCTGGGAATACAGGCACGCCCTGCTAATTTTTTTATTTTTTATTTTTAGTAAAGACAGGGTTTCACCGTGTTAGCCAGGATGGTCTCAATCTCCTGACTTTGTGATCTGCCCACCTCGGCCTCCCAAAGTGCTGGTATTACAAGCGTGAGCCACCACGCCCAACCAGGAGCCCATTGCTAGGAAGAGCCTCCATGGAATGCCGGCAGTGAACAGCATCTCCTCTGAACTGCCTGAGCATCACCATTGCACTGTGTACTCCGGGCTGTATTCACCATCACCCAAGGGTGGCCAGATAATCTGTCTGCCACAGCATCTTCAAGATTTGAGCCATTTCCTCTGTGAAGGTTTCCTCACTACAACACTGCCCGCAGCTGAAACTAAACATTCCTCCCACCAAGCTCTTACGGCAGCATGGTTTATAAAAGATACTTGACTTCTTGTCCCAACTATAAGCACTTCACATTTGTTATTCACCTGTATATCCCTAGGACAGAACCCTTATGGTCACTAAATAAGCATTCGTGGAATGAGTCTCTTTCTCAAATCCACACTGTTGCTTGATCTTTTTAAGCCCCTGAAAAACTGTCACTTCAGAATTACCTTGGCCCCCAGTGAAGGAATGGGTATTCACTGAGAGGCCGAGGCGGGTGGATCATGAGGTCAGGAGATCGAGACCATCCTGGCTAACATGGTGAAACCTCGTCTCTACTAAAAATACAAAAAAATTAGCTGGGCGTGGTGGCGGGTGCCTGTAGTCCCAGCTACTTGGGAGGCTGAGGCAGGAGAATGGCATGGACCCGGGAGGCAGAGGTTGCAGTGAGCCGAGATTGCGTCACTGCACTCCAGCCTGGGTGACAGAGCAAGACTCCATCTCAAAAAAAAAAAAAAAAAGCCTCTAGTGTATAGGGGAACAATATGATTCTTTTATCTCATATACAAGTAGTGGAGCCCAAGAAATTTATCAAACTTCTTAAAATAGAGAGTTTGAGATCTAATTATAAACAGATAGAAAAATGAAGAACTAGACTAAGTTATACCACCTCAAACATCCTAACACTATTTAAATATCTTAATAAAACTAAAAACAATTATTCAGAATAAGACTCCCTCCTCTGATTTATCCTTACCATCAACTACTCTGAAAAGTGAAACTGTTATTTTCCATTAATAAATTGGTATAACTTTAGTTAGTCTTCCCATACTAATCTGTTCACTGGTCCTGGAGCGTGTACTTTTCTTCTCTACTACTTGGCCTTTATTCTTACTTGTGTTCCTTCCCCTGGTGGGGCTATGGCATTCTGTTCAACTTCAGTGAACTTGAAGTTTCACTCTAGTGTCACCTTTGTTTTCCTAGCCAAAAACAATCTTCCTTTTTTTTTTTATTAAAAAGTTTGAGAGAGTCTCGCTCTGTCGCCCAGACTCGAGTAAGTGATTTGATCATTGCCCACTGCAGCCTCAAATTCCAGGTCTCAAGAGATCCCCTGTCCTCAGCCTGCGAAGTAGCTGGGATTACTAATGCATGCTACTGTGCCTGGCTAATTATTTTTATTTTCAGTTTTTGTAGAGACAGTGTCACACTATGTTGCCCAGGTTGATCTTGAACTCCTGGTCTCAAGTGATCCTCCTACATTGGCCTCCCACAGTGCTGGGATTCCAGGTGTGAGCCACTGAGTTTGGCCTTCCCTTCGTAAGATCCACATCACTTTCTCATGTTATCCCTTCTTATCCTGTGTTGTAATTATTCGTGTGAAGTCCCCTATCCTAAAATAGCTTGAAGTCTCTCTGAAGGCAGATAAAACATGAGTCCAGCTAAAGATCTCCTCACATGCATACCTTGTCTTGCACCAGCAGATGCTCAGCAAACAAATGAATAAAAGGATCAATAAATAGGCTTGATGAATTAAATTTTTTATCAGATTGCCTGTTGGTTTTGGCATTGCATAGGCACTCCCCAAGCTGTTTAAATTTCCTTTATTTACCAAATACTTGCTACTGTTTGTGAGAATAGTGGAAATAAGACAATTTTCCCCAACAGAACATTAACATTCAAGCAGAGGTTAAATGGCTCCTTTGGGAGTGGAGAATCTAGGAAGTCTAACGTGTAGTGACAACACTCAAAGAGAAACCCTTCTTGGATTCTGTATGTCAAACAGTTCCACGACTTGTTCAAGTTTAACTGTGGGACTTTTGAAGCCATTGTGACTATTTTGCTTCTGTTGGGTGACTGGAAAGACAGTATCTGCTACCTGGGAAGGGTTAATTGTGTTCTTATATTTTCAACTCTACTTTTTAAAAAGGTGTGGCTGCATTTTTCTCTTCTCTTTTCTCCCCATTGTCTCCCCTACTCTTCCTCACTCTTTTTCTATCTCCCCCTCTCTAGTTCCTTCCCTGATTCCTTCTCTTCAGTCTTTCATTTTCTTCCTCTGTATCTCCTTCTTGCCTCTCCCACTGCACCCTTTCCTTCCTTTGCTTCCCCTACACCTTCTCCCTCTCATGTGATTTATGTTAAAATGTACGACATCAAAGAGTTACCTACATGAATCTGAACCCTGGGTTTAGATCTACCTAAGGTAGGTGGCATAAATACCTGAGAGGTGGGGAGGAGAGAAGCAGCTCTAGAAAATGCTTTCATTCAGAAGGTGTGGCACAGAAATCATGGTGGCATGTGGCATGGTGGCAAGTGACAAGAGGCATCCACGCAAAAGCTGGCATCCAGGGGACCTAACAAGAGATCATGGGCTGCCCCAAGGTTGCCTGAAACATTGTGATGGGATACTAACCTGAATACAAAGCATGACTGCAGATCTGGAAGGAATTGGATTCAAGAAGGAATTTGTAAGTGGGTAGCAGAACCTAAGCCATCTTTCTAGGGTTTACTATAAACCTAGAGGCAGGTTGAGGATTAACAAGAGCAAGCAGTGCTTTGAGCCTTGCAGGCCTGCTTCCTAGAAAAAGTATTCTGGCAGAGCATCTTACTGGTTATAAGGGAATAGGGCCCAAGAAGAGAAAGTTTCCCAAGAGGAAATATGTAAAAGGGCTTAGTTATAGGAAGAAAGGAAAAATCTGATTCCCAAAACTGAAGCAGTCCATGGGCAGAGCAAGATGAACCTGAGCTACTGACCTAAGCTTCCTTAAAATAACCCCAAATGAAACATGGTTGGTTCTGGAAACTGGAATTGGGGGTAGCCTCCAAATAAGGGTCCAGTAGCTCTGGGTCATTTCATCGTCAACTGGAAATAGATGCAGCAGTCTCAGTGGTCATGACTCTAACATCAGATCAGCCTGAGCTCAAGTACCAAGTACAGCTCTTACAAGATGAGAGAGACCTTGGGAAAGTAACATAACCTCTCTTTGCCTCAGTTTTCTCATCTGTAAAGTGGGGGGAAACAGTACCAATGTCATGGGGCTATCATGAGAATTAAATGAATCCTTATTAATAAAAGGTTTAGAATAAGGGCTGGGCGCGGTGGCTCACACCTGTAATCCCAGCACTTTGGGAGGCTAAGGTGGGCAGATCACAAGTTCAGGAGTTTGAGGACCAGCCTGACCAACATGGTGAAACCCCGTCTCTACTAAAAATACAAAAATTAGCGTGCGTGGTGGCACGCACCTGTAATCCCAGCTACTCAGGAGCTGAGGCAGGAGAATTGCTTGAACCTGGGAGGCAGAGATTGCAGTGAGCCGAGATCTTGCCACTGCACTCCAGCCTGGGTGACAGAGCAAGACTCCACCTCAAAAAAAAAAAAAAAAAGCTAACTTTTCTCCAGAGTCATGTATTTTCAACAAAAGGGGTTTAAAGTTTTTCTATTTTCCCAAATCAAGTGAATTTCAGCTCAATAAAATCATTCATTTTTCAGGGAAACTGATTCACTTTTCATTTACTGAGTATAGACCACCTGAATTGGGTCCCAAACTAACTCCTCATAATAAAAACTGAACATGGGAGTTGCTCTGCTGTGTGGCAAACACACCATCATTCTTGTAATTGCCTTCACTTGAAAACTCAGCCACATATTTATCTCCCCTTTCTCTAACCCCAGTATCTCAGAAAGTCATATAGCATCATGGTTAAGAGAGCAGACTCAGGAACCAGACATAACTGGGCTTAAATGTTAACTTTATCCCCTTTTTAAAGCTTGGTAGAGCTGCCTATCTTTTCTTTCTGAGCTTCAGTTTTCTCATTTGCAAGTAAGTGAGGATAGTAATACCCATGTCATAGAGTTATTGTGAGGATTGGATGTGATTTTGCATGGAAAGGGCTTAGCAAAGTACCTACTTATGGAAATGTTTAATGCATTTCAGTCAAAAATCATGTATCATAATCCAGTTGAATCCATTTTTCAAATGTCTCCTAACTTTGTCCCTTCTGCTCCATCCTTCCAATACTATTGTGTATCTCTGTCGGGAGTATATGTGTGTATCTTCCTTACAAGACGGTAAACTCCTTGTGTGTATATACAGTTTGGTTTATCTTCACTTCCCATTCCATTTTATCTTGAATGCTGCTGGGCTTACAACAGTATTCAACAAACATTGATTGAAAAGACATTCTGCAGAACCTGATTGTCCCCTCTGTTCCTTGATTGCAGAACTTGGTACAATTGGTAGAAGTATTAAGACTAAAAACTTCAAGGGTCTTGAGTGCTGTAATAATGCCTTGTGGTCATTTGATGCTTAGAAAACAGCTTGGTAACTTAGAGTCAATTTAAACCATCCACACAAGAACCTCAAGCTAATATTCAGCCTATTATGTGGGAGTCTAAATGGCCTTTCTATAGAAAAATCTGACTAGCTTCTGCATTGGAGACTGAATGGCATGCTTCTTAGACAATAGACAACAATGGTTGTCTGTGGGGGACAGAAGAGGGTAAGGGTCTGGGAGCTGGAAAGAAACTGATGAAGCCACAAAAGAAAGCTCTGAACTTCACATTTATTAATGCATGTCTTTGTGTCATTACTTATCAGCAATATTTGTATTTTTAAACACAGTACCAATTAAGACTGGCAGTTAGTGGACAACTGATGTAAAGCACCAGATGTGGTTCCCCTATGTCTCATTGATCTTGCTATTTGATCCCTTTTTTCCAGTGTTGCAAGTAATTTGGCAACATTATTGACAATGTAAACTGATCAAACTTCTATGACAGACATCTTGGGAAGGGAAGAAAATGATAGGGCATTGTGGTTCAAACTGATACTTTTCTAAAAAAGATAACAGTTTTTAGTGACCAGGAATGTGCAGTCTATGAAACAAGCCATTACTGCCTATGAGGCAGGGTTCGTGACAGCACTATATGTAGAAATAAAGGAGGCATCTTGTATAGATGGCTTTATTCATGAAAACATAAAAGAATGTTCTGTTAAAAATCAATGTACTTTTTAGATTTCCAGTGCTCAAAATTCTACTATTATAGTCAATCCTTATAGTCTTTCTTACCAGAAACTAACCAACTAATCAGCAACTTGGTAGGGTTTTTGAAAACAAAATGAAGTCCTTTGTTACTTGGGAAAGAACAGAAAGGAGGAGGTATGAGAAAGGGGTTATAGATGTTAGAAGATGGTGAAAGATGGGGTGATTTCAGTTTAGGGTCAACAGCCTCCAGTCAGTGAATGGGAGATGAAGGTGGGAAGTCAAGTCTGTTAATTCAGCCATCACCAAAACTGACTGATGGATCCTGCCTATTGTCCGCTGGCTTCATGTGCGTTTTCATCCTTTACTTCTAAGAAGACTGTAAAATATTTTCCATATTGCTCTTCTCCAGTATTCTACACTTCTGCTTCCTCTACTTCAGCTTCAGCTATTCTTTTAATGTTCAGTCTCATCATGCCAATCTTCCTTCTGCTTTACAATCTTTCATGGGACCTCATTTTACCCTAAAATTAACTCTCCATTCTTTAAACTGGCCTGTCCTCTCCCCGAAGCCTCATCCTTCCAGTGTTCTCTCCACTACCCGCTGTATATAAAAGAATGCCATGTTCTTCCAAAGTTCTCTGTCTTGGCTAATGCTCCTCTCTCCATTAGAAATTTTCTTCCTTGCCTTTTCTGCTAGGTGGCCTCCCAGGCATCCTTCAAGGCTCAGGTTAAAGTCGACCTTTCAATAATGCTTTGTTGGACTCACCTAGCCAGAATTAATCACTCCTGACCCTGTGACTCGGTAGAACCTAGTGTATACTCTATGACTCTCTCATTGAATGAATGATGATTGCCTGGCTCTTCATTAATATTAGCTTGTGAGGGCAGTGACTGTGTGTTGTGGGGGCAATGTTATGTTTTTCAGGAGGTCGTTTTATTTCTCTTCTGGGCACAAAGAAAGGCTATATTTCCCAATTGCAATATGTCTAGTTGTGGCTTTGAAGCAAACTTTGGCAAAAGTGATATATACCACTTCCAACTGGCTGCTAACAGATAATGCATAATCTCTATTGTTTTTCTCTTGCCAACCACTCAGCCTTTTTGAGGATTTCAATAAACAATTGGATAGAAAGATCTTGAGTCTGAGTCACCGCCTGTAGGAAAGCTACTCTGCTAGCACATCAGCACAAGATTTCTCAAGAGAAAAATGAACTGTCACTGTCTTAGACACTAGAGTTGGGGATATTATTATAGCAATTAGCCTTACTTACTCTAATATGGTATCTCATTTCCCTTTATGATGCTTTTTTTCTCATTGTGATTTCCAGTCAACCACTCCTCCTTGTCTACCTATGTCAGTTCTGACTTTACTTTTCTCCCATCTAGCATGGATCCTTTGGTCAATCATTTAATGACATTATTGCCATCACCCTAGAATCTTTTTCTGATGTTTTATTTTATTAGCACAAGTTGTTTTTATAACAATAATAGCAGTAGTCATTGTTGCAGCCCATTAGGAGCACGTAATACTTTGCAGATTATGTATCTTGGCATTTATTGTCTAAGTTTGATTTTGGCCTCTCATGGTTTCCATCTTACCTCAAAGTGCTTCCTGCCTGCTATCTCCACTCCTGAATCCAAGCTGATACCACTAGAGAAGTCACAGAGATCTGACTTTTGGCTTCAATACAAATTAAGGGTATTTCTTCATTGCCATTGAGCAAACATCTTAGTCATCTCTTGTACTCCTTGTTTAAATCTTCACGACTTTTTAAATCAAACTTTTTCTACTCCCCTTAGAACTCCACCCATTTCCAATGTTAAACCCTCCCCTGTGTACCTGATATGAGAAACGCAGAATACAGGATTACTAAACTGTTGTGTACAGTAGCCATCAATTGTACCAAGCTTGTATGAGGCAGGCACATAGCAGTCAAATAAGCAAAAGGCCAGCTATATGGATTTTTTTGTGATCATTCTTCCCAAAGAATTTTCTTCATATTTCTAGTCCAACAAACTATTCTGGATGAAAAACATTTTCTGGAGTCAAATAAGTGTGGAAACTACTTCACATAATATCCTCATTATTAATCTGCTCCCTTAACTGCAAACATCTTATGACCATTGGTTGTGGCCAGCAAAGAATGTGTTTTGCTAGTTTAAAGATGAGGTCATTTTTAAAATGGTGTCACCCTGGCTTTCCTAGGCTCCTGCTTCCCTAGGAGAATGAAAATGTTAACTCCATGCCTCTCCAGCACTCCATTTTGGAAGCATATAACTTGTTTCCTAGTCCATAGATCCATAGATGTACAGGAATTTTACCCAAAGATGGGTCATATCCAGAGTCTCACCTATACCTCACTTAGATGGCATTTGGGACCATTTGAGTTGATGACATATGAGATTTTGCCCTTGGGTTGATGCTGGAATGGGTTAAGCCTTTTAGGACTGTTGGATGAAGCGAATTCCTAGTCTTTCTGCAAATGGCTTTGTATCACCAAGAATTCCTTCAATAAAGGAAGCTATGTCACTTTACCATCTCAGCACTTCCCGAAAGTTTTGTTTACAAAACTTTTATATAATATACTTGTGAAGATTTAATGGAAGAATTCAGTCTAATTCTGCTTTCATCTGTGTAAAGTTATCTTTCTCTGGAGATAGGCAAACAATATTTTCTCCTTTGCTGATGTCAGACCAGGGCTAAGATACACAGGAAGATTGCAGGTACAGTAACTTACCCCAGGGGGAGGAAAAGGGTATTTACCAAACTTGTATGCCTCTTTTTCATTTAATAGTGATCCCAAGAAAAATGTTAGTATTCTTTCTTTTACACATAAGGAACCATATATAGGTAGTAAGAATACGATTCAGGATTCCAAAATCCATGATCTTTTCATGTCTTGACTCAGCTGGCATTGAGCTGGGAGTACAGAGATGGGTGCATGTCACTATGAGAGTGTTTAGACTCCTTCTAGCTTAATGGTGGATGGTTCTTAATTTCATTATGTAAGAATTGACAGTCTCCAGAACCATAAATGTCACCTTAATAATAACTATTGGAGCCTATTAAGTCTAGAAATTTACTTTTTCATAGTTACCACAAGAATGGGATGCAGAAGAATATGACTGTTACTCAATGGCAATATGAAAATCAATAACCCATTACCTCTGTCAGGCATATCCCCAGACTGCGCCACCTTTGTGAAGGAAAGACTGATGAGTTACCACTTGAGTATGAGTCAGAACCTACATAGATTTACTGAAAGTATAACAAGTTAGATATGCCCATGGATGCTGGGCCAGGTGGCAAATGATGATAAGTTCTGGATCTTTTTGCCTTCAAGGATATCTTTTATTCTTCTCACATGGGCTCTTACTTTGCTACCAAACTGTTAGTTAAGTACTAATTATGTTCCCCACTTGTATTTATCAGTAGCGTGTAGAACTGCCAATCAGAACTTGGGGTCAGCATCTGCCTAGTCGGTATAATTGCATCAATTTGATACAACTCTAATCAAAACGAAAGAAACTTTTGATACTTCAGATGGCTTTTGCCTCCTTATTACAGGTAAATACATAGCTCCTTTAAACATGTATAAAATAGTTTGGGGTTATAGTGAGAGTGGATTGAAGGATATTTTTAAAAACATTTTCTTCATATATTTTGCATAGTCTCACTGGTGTGATTATCTTACATTATTTGTGTAATCAGAAGAATTAATAAAGTAGAAAATAATTTTAAAACACAATTGCCTGAGAACCTGTATTACTGCTTTCATGGTCTTATCAAGTTCTAAAAGGTAGGAAACTAACCTAGACATCTTTGTAAGAACACTTCTGTCTCAAAAAATTCAAGAAAAATCTTATGGCCTTCTGTTTTGTTTTGTTTACAGGGAGAAATAATTGCTCTCTTTCCAGTATGATTTCCATTAGCTGTAGTAACAATTCTGCAGGGCTTTTTAATACTCCTGGTAATGAGGCATCCTTGGGTCCCTGCATTCGGTTCATTCAATATCTTGCTGGGAAGGCAAAGTCGTAAAAAAATTAAAAAAAAAAAAGAAAAACCTCTTCATTCTCACATCACAAATCACAGCCAGAAGCAAAAAAGGAAAAAATAAAAACCCTAAATACTCCATATCCTGCTACCTAAGCATTTAAGTAATTAGTTTCCTGAAGTTTGGCCACCAGACTAGTAAGCAGCTACAAAGGTCTTAGTGTTTACTTTACAGTATATCCCCAAACTCAAGGCACACAGCTTATAGGCTGACCAATAATTGAGTCTCTTTTGTTTATTTGTTTGCTTCTATTGGAGGAGGAGGTACTAGGGAAAAAGAAAATAGAGAAAATAACTTTACCATTATTCTTTCGCTAAGTCCTCCTTAATGTTCTCCAAAATGAAAGGCAAAGTGGCTGGAAGTGGGTGTCTTTACACCAGCCCTATCCTTGCAAAATTCCCACGTAAGATGCTACTTTTCATTGCTTCTTTTAATGATCATATTATTTTTATTTTATTAGTTTGACTTCTTTCTTTCACTAATGCATGAGTTAACATATGACTCACATTTTATAGTTATTTCTTTTCATCTTTGGAAAAGCAGAGATGCTTTTGAAAAATTCCATCTATATACGTATTTAGACCACTTTGCATTGAAGGACATATTTTATTGCCTGTTACAGAAAGCACTAATAAATGGATAGCACTTTTGCATTTCCTACAAGTCTAGAGGACAGTGAATGGAGGAATTTTGTTCTCTGCTTAAATTATTCACAGGGAGAAAGTAAGGTGCCTGGGGTGGTGCATTTGGGCATTTGGGTCACAATATGTTTTGGTAAGAGCAGTATGATACAACAAACCATTCCCTAAAGATATGGTATTGAGGCCAGGGACAGTGGCTCATGTCTGTAATCCCAGCACTTTGGGAGGCTGAGGCAAGAAGATCACTTGAGGCCAAGAGTTCAAGACCAGCCTGGGTGACATGGTGAGACCCTGTCTCTAAAATAAATTTAAAAAATAATAAAACAATTTAAAAGATATGATATTAAGAACAACTGAAAACCTCCATACATTCAGCATAGAAAAGTTGGAAAGAAATTTAATCTGAACTTTTTAAAGCACATATTTTGTTTCAAATATTATGCTAAATGCTAAGAATAAACAGAAAAATACACATCCACATAAATTCACAGTTTAGCAGCTTATTAAGAAAGACTTACATACAAATAAATGTATCCTTAAAGAAATAGAAATTTCAGTTACATATAAGGTAAAGTAACACTCCTCTCTCTGCCCCTCTCACTGAAGGTAACTGAGAATACTGGACAATATGCATGCAACATTAATCTGAAGACTCCAGAAAACAAATGCTAGCAGGCAGTGTGATGAACTGCAAGTATCACTGAACTGGCAGTATCTTTAAATCCTCAAACCCAGAAGTACACACTAGGTGCAGACAGAAAGAGCTCTTAGAGAGGCCCTCTCTTTCTGGTTGAAGGAGCAGGAAATTGGGCCCCTAAAGAACAAAAAGAGTGTCAAAATTCCCTTGAATTTTGTAGTTTTGTTGCTTGTTTTGCTTATTTGTTTGTTTGTTTGTTTGTTTTTCCATCCTCTCTCAGCCCCAAGGCAAACCCATTGTAGCAGCAGTGGCAGTAATAGCAGAGCCAATGGCGGATGTGGTGGCAACACTAGTAGAACAGATGCCCAAAACTCTGAGCCAAGAGCACAGGAGAAATCCTCATTGCCTTTCTTTCCCCTTTCTGAATTCTTTCACCATTTGAACTGGCTGGCAGAACTAATAACAAAATATAAACAGCAGAGTAGACAATTCAAAGCCTCAGTTTTCTCAGCAGAAGATGAGAAAGGAAAATCTTTGAAGCTGGAAAGTTCCAGGAAAAGTATTCAGCTGAGGAAGCTGCGGAAATCCATCCCAAAACATTATTTATAAACTCCTGGGCTTACCCTCAACCTTCACACGCATATATTTGAACATAAACAATACAGCAAAAGCTTTGAGAAATCATCTATAAAGTAGACCACTGTGCAGGTCTAATACTGGTTACTGGGTGGCACAGAAGCAGGAGGATTCAAATAGCACTTCAAAGTCTCTGAAAACTAAATTGACATTTGAGCCAGCTGGAACTTGTGGTCTAAATTCATCTTAATCAATTGCTTCCTTTAAAAAGTTAACATCAATATTTTCCATGACTTAAAACCAAGTGCCTCACGACATAATATTCAATATGTCCAGGAATTACAGTCTGAAATTACTCAATATATGAAGTCCCTGGAAAATTTCAATGATTTGCAAGGGAAAGGACATTCAACAGATGCTAACCTGAGATAACACAAATGCTGGAATGATCAAAGAAGCTGTTTTAACCATGCTCCAAAAAGTGAGCGTGATCACTGTTAAAATAAATGGAAAGATTAAAAGCTGCATGAGGGGAAATAGAACATATTAGAACAATCCAAATGGAAATTTTAGAACCAAAAAAAATACAATAACCAAAATAAAAAAATACACTGGATGTACTCAATAGCAGGATGCAGACAAGGGAAAAAAAGGTCATTAAATTTGAAGGCAGATTAATAAAAAATTATTCAATCTAAAAACAGTAAATACAAAATTTTAAAAAATGAACAGAGACTTTAGGACCTCCGACAGTACCAAAAGATCTAATAACGATATCATCAAGGTTTCAGAAGGAGAGAAGAAAGACTATGATGCGCATTAAAGTTTTGAAGAAATAATGGTTAAAATTTTTCCAATGTTGGAAAAATATATAAATTCAACAAGATTTAAGCTCATTGAATCCCATTAGGATAAATTCAAATAAATATGTCTGCCTAGATACATGAAAATAAAGTTGCTGAAAAATAAACACAAATACAATAACCTGAAAGCAGCCAGAGGTAAAAACAACACAAAACAGTTGGAAGGCCAGTGATTTGAATTGGAGTAGATTTCTCATCAGAAATAATGGTAGACATAATTCAATAAAACGTTTTTAAATGCTGAAATAAAAGAGCTGTCAACCAGAATTCTATGTCCATGAACATGCCCATGAGAAATAAAATGAAAAGTAAGATATTCTCAGAAGAAAAAAAAATCTATGAAGATCTATTACCAGCAGACTTGGTCTGCAAGAAGTTCTTCAGGTAAAAGAGAAATAATACCAGAGGGAAACTTGGAACTTTCTGAATAAAGAGCAACAGAAATGATAAATGACTGGGTAAATAAGATACAATATTTTTCTCTTAAGTTCTTTAAAATGATAATTGAAAGCAAATAAAATGACATCAACTGGTGAGGTTTGCAACGTATGTTGATGTATTCTAGATGACAATTGCAACATAAAATGGGGAAGCTGAAAAGAGCTATGTGGTGGTTACATTTCTATATCTTCCACTTGAAGTAGTAAAATATTAATTCCAAGTATACTGTGAAAATATGTGTGAATATGTATTTAATTCACATGTGCCTATCTGTATCTATATTTATATCTATGTCTCAGTCCTTAGAGAAACCACCAGAAAATATTTACAAAGACATGTGGTCAAAATGCAAGAGCTAGATTTAAATGGAATACTAAAAAATAGGTAGTACCAAAATAGAAAGCAAAGGGAAAACAGAGGAGTGAAAAACAGAGAAAAAACAAGAAACAATTAATAAGTTGGTAGATCAAGTCCAACAGATGTTAAGGGAAAAATTAGAGAAACTTTTTAGAAAGAAATTCGTAGGCCCAAATTCAACAATATCAATAATTACGTTAAATATAAGTGGACTAAAAATACCAATTTAAAGACAGATTGTCAGAATGGATTTTAAAATGCAGAAGATAAATGCTATCTATGAGAAACCTACTTAAAATATAATGATGTTTATAGGTTAAAAGTAAAAATATGGAAAAATATACCATGTAAACACTAATCAAAAGAAAACTTCAGTGGCTATATTAATATTTGACAAAAAAGACCATAGAATAAAGAATTAACAGGTTCAAAAAGGACATTCTGTAATGATTAAAGATCAATTCACCAAGAAAACATAACAATCTTAAATGTATATGCACCTAACATCAGAACCTCGAAATACATGTAGCAAAAACTGATAAAAGTGAAAGTACAAATAGGCAAATCCACAAATATAGTTGGAGGCTTCACCACATCCTTCTCTGTAATCAATGGAACGAGTCAACAGAAAACCAGAAAAGACAGAGAACAATTGAACACTTACGGAACACTCCACCCCAAAACAGCAAAACAGACATTCTTTTCAAGTGCACCTGAAACATTTACCAAGATAAACCATATTCTAGGCCATATAAATCAAAGACATAAGGGTTTTGTTTGTCCCTGCTTAATCGACAGTACATAGAACAGCGTCTGGAATGTAATAGGTTTCAGTAAGTATTTGATGAATCAATGAGTTAAGACAAATTAATTTTTAAAATGAAAATAAAGCATTAAATGTTAAAATATTAAAAGTTTGTATAAGCATAAAAATGGCACAACAAATAAAATGACTGTCAGGATTAGGGTAAAGAGGAGGTAATATATTAGTTGTTTTTTCCTTTTATTGGAGAAGTAACAAATGTTAATTGTAAAAATATGGAAAATAAATAAAAATAAAGATGAATATTATAATTATCTGTAAACTACATATGCCTTTCAGGTCTTTTGTTTTGCATGTAACTATAAAATATATGTTTTATTTTATTACAACATCAAGATTAGTCTGTAAGTACAGATTTTTATATTTTACTTTTTTCACATTATAATGTGAACATATTCCTGTATCATTACTCTAAAATTATTATTTGTAATTAATAACATAAAACTTTTTAAATATTTTGTGTATTTAATCATTTTCCTATCAATAAGGATTTGTGATGTTTTCTAACTTTTGCTCATAAGTAGTGCTGTGATAAACATCATTGTTCATAAATTATAATATGCATCTTTGTTTATTTTTCTATTATGATTTTTTTAGTAATATAGTTTTTGGATCAAAGGACATAGTTAATCTTTGGACACTTGATATGCATTGTCAAATTGTCCTCCAGAAAGCACTTAATTATCTCTAGTAGCGTATGAGAGTGCTTGAGTATTACTATTTTTCAAAATTGTCATCTATATGAAAACTAAAAATGGATATCCAAGGTTTTATTTGGAGTTTTAAAGTTATGCATAATGTTAACTTTTTCAAATATTTTTCAACAGTTTGAACCTTTTTTATAGATTGTTATTTACATTTACCTGTTTACTGATTGATTTTCTTGCTTATTTTTACAAGGATATACTCTAAACCAATAATAACAGAATGCCAAGACTCAACTTTTCTCCAGTGCATATTGTTTAAACCAGCTCAATATTTCCTCACCACCTACAGCTCTTTCTCTGTAGGATGTACACTTCCAAAGATATCATCAGCCATCATCAACCTCTATCTCCACCTCTATAGTCCTTGCACTCCCCACTATGCCCCTATACTATGCACTTAAACATCATACCCAGTTTTGTTGCTTTCTCAAAGTTTCTGTCTTTAAATTCAGTGCAGAAAGATGCTTGGAAAGTAGCGTGTGTGGGTGTTTGTGTGCATGCACACCCATGTATGACATAGGAAGCTCTGTTTGCTTCATAACATAGAACCCATACCTTTTTATACAATGGTGATACTACATTATGTTTATTCAGCACTTTTATTCAGGAAGAGTCTCCCTCGTGAGGAGGTAACCTGAGTATGCAGATGAAAAACATCCTAGAAGGATATCACCTCAGTTTTTAGTGTTTTGTGTTTACCTTTTTCTGTGCATGTTATGTAAGGAAAGTTTCATATGAAAAAATAATGATGCTTTATCTAGGGATGCTACAGATTTTATATTAGAATTCTATGAGTTGGATTTATGTAAGTTGGGTTTTTTTTTTTTTCTTACTTTTTTGGTGTGGAGGGGAGAATACCTCTCTCTCTCTCTCTCTTTCTCTCTCTCTCTCTCTCTCTTTCCTTCTTTCTTTTCTTTCTCTCTCTCTCTCTCTTCTTTCCCCCTCCCTGCCTTCTTCCCTTTCATTCTTTCTGTCTCTTTCTTTTTACAGTTGAGTTTTGAAGCATAAATAAGAGTGTTTCACATTAACACAGAGAAAATCAGTTCAAACAGTGACATCCACATTTTCAAAGACATAGAGGCATAATGTCTGATGAATTTGGGAAAATACAATCAGTTTATTATAACTGGAATGTAAAGTGCAAGGTGGGCACCTCCTTGAACAGTGCTGAATGGGAACAGTTCATCTCGGAACTCTACATCTGCGCTATTATTATGTTATCAAATTGGGCACACACTTTGGACATTTTTCTTATCTGGGTGCTCTTTCAAGTGGAGTCCTGTAGCCTTTGGTGTATGAGCCCTGCTCTATGAAGTGGCTAGGGCACCTCCCCTCACACACTGAGTTACAAATGCTGTCTCCAAGACATCCATTACATGCTCATCCATATGGTTCCAGCTGTTTGTTCCACATCAACTTTTCCTTTGTATCTCCAACTTCTTTCCCATCTCCTTTGTAATTTATTATTCAATTTTGATCTATCTCATAGTTTCCCACTAGCCCCCTTTTTTCTATAACCTGCCTCATTTATATTTTGTAGTGCCTATATAATATTCTACTGAATGAATGTTTCATGGTTTATCTGACTATTGCCTATGGGCGGACTTCTGATAAAAAAGACAACATCCTCTCTGTCCTATCCTCAGTGCCAGCTCATGAGTTATTCTCCACCAGGCAGCCCGGTGGAATCATTACCCTGGACTGTAAACACTCCAAGCCCAGTTGCAGACCAGGACAGAGCCTGCCTCCCAAATCACTTCAGTCTTCCCTTTGCCTCTTTTCCTACTGACACTGCCAGACCGGTCACTGAATTGTTGTTCCTGTATCCGTCTTCCACCAATCCTCTTGCCTAATCTATACTACAGAGTTCTCTTCCTAAAACCCAGCTATTATGATGCCATCTTTTAATCCTTGCACCCCACGAAGTTCTCCTTAATACTAGAACACAAAATAAACACAGACAAAGGAATTTGAGGCTCTCCACTATCTTTCTAGCCTTTCTAGCCTTGTTTTCTATGATATGTACTACAAACCCTTCAGTCCACTTACTACTTTATGATGCCTCTAATACTTCAGGCACTTTTATGTCTCAATGCTTTTGCTCAAGCTGTTCTGTGTACCTGAAGGACTTTACCTGGCCCCTTACCTTTAGCTGTCAAAATCTTATTTCTTAGTCAAAGTCTAGCTCAAATGATGTTTTCATGAAACCTTCCCAGGATGTATTCCTTCTCTCTACTGAAGTTCACATGCACACAGGCATTTTTTGATATCAGATTTTCAGAATTTATAAATGATAATACGTACTGAAAATCTGCTTTATAGGAGGAAAGCTGTTGTGTCTTGAATACTACTCTATTTTATTGGCTAACAAACTCATTTCATAAGGTGTTGGCAGAACACAGAGATGAATGAAACAATTTCATTCTTTTAACTGGGAAACCGGACAGGTGCATTGCACAGTCTCAGAATTGTGGTAAATATCTCAAACATGTTAGATGTCTAAGGAAGCACACAGAAAAGTGTCTCTGGCTATCTGGAGAGGAGAGGGACATCTGGTCAAGGAAAGGAAAGTTCCACAGCATGGACAATGCCTGGGTCATCCTGCAGGATGGCATGGCAAAAGAAAGAGGATGTATGTGTTAGAGCCCCTGTATTTCATTACAAATACAAATAGCGGAGAAAAAAAAGACTTTCATTATGTTGACCAAAAAATTCACAAAGTCAGTAATTTTAGGAAGGAGAGCTTTGTTTCTAAAGGAGGACTATATCCGGCAGGCATGAAGTGAAACCTCCTGCAAATCAGAAATCTGTGCTTCAAGGAGGAGGAATTAGAGGTAGGAATGTATGCTAAACAGGATGGCAGAGTATACATATTCATCAGTATATAGGAGGAGTTTATTAATATTCATGAAGGAGACGTGCATGCACATTAGGTTTACATGTATGAAACATATAACCCATGTTCACTTTGGGGTGGAGACTTAACATTTAAATACATTATAATTAGCTCTTATATGTACAAAGGTAAAGCATGATGCATAGGGCTGCTTTCTGAGCATCTTAAGAAAACCAAAATCAGTCTTCAGCCAGCTGTCAGCTATCAAGGAGAAGTTTGTACACTGGGATAGAAGTCATGTCAGAGCCAAAAAATAGGAGAAGGGCACTGGGTGGTTGGATGAAGTAAGTGAGGGGTTCTTCCAGTCTTTTGTTCTCCCCAGCTTGCTTTTGAGAAAATCTATTAATGATTAGTAATGGAAAGTGAGGGGTGGGTCATGGCAGCAAAGAGAACATGACCAGCCTCTCATCTTGTTATGTCAAGATCTTAAAATTTGTAGGGTCTATTTTAACCAAAGGAGCATCCATTAGTCTGTTGGAGAGGCTTAGGGCTTTCATTTCAGTCCTCAATTATGAGTAACAGAATTTTCAAAGGCAAGGGTGAACTATGTCTCAGAAGTAAACTGGAACCAAGGCGCTGAAGGCCACAAGGAATTACTTCACATTGACTTCACCTTCTCTGTCACTGCAGACTTATTGTGTCTGCTTTCTGGGACACAGTAAAACATGGTCTCCTAGAGCTCCCAGGCTGACACTTCCCTGGTCAAGGGTTGTTTTAGTTATCTATTGCTATGTAACAAATTACTCCAACACTTGGTGGCTTAAAACAACAAGAATGTATTATTTCAAAGTTTCTGTGGGCCAAGTTTCTCTGAGTATCTCTGGCTCAAGGTTTGCAAAGAGGCTGCAGTTAAGTTGTTGTCCACAACTTTGGTCTCTTCTGAAGGTTCAAGTGGGGAGTGGGTTGGGCAAAGGATGAAAAGGACCTGCTTCCAGGTTTGCTCACATTACTGTTGGCAGGCTTCAGATGATTTAATTCCAAACCCAGTCATGTGATTGTTGGCAAGCTTCAGTTCCTCGTGGGCTGTAGGACTGAAACCTCAGTGCCTTGCTAAGCCTTACAGCCCTCTTCATATTATTGCTTATAACATGGCAACTTACTTTCCTCCACATGACTGATCTGAGAAAGAGAGAGACATTTAGTGTTGTAAAGGAATACCTGAGGCTGGGTAATTTATAAAGAAGAGGTTTATTTGGATCACAGGCTGTACAAGACACATGGCTCCAGCATCTACTTCTAGTAAGGGCTTCAGGCTCCTTTCACCCATGACAGAAGGCAAAGGGGAAGCAGCATGTGCAAAGATCACATGGCAAGATAGGAGGCTGGAAAGAAAGTGGGGAGGTGCCAGACTCATTTAAACAACCAACTCTCAGGAACTAATAGAATGATAACTCACTCTCAGGAACTAATAGAATGATAACTCACTCATTACTCTGAGGATGGCACCAAGCCTCTCATGAGTGACCTGCCCCCATGACCCAAACATCTCCCATGAGGCCCCAACTTCATCATTACCAAATTTCAGCATGAGGTTTGTGGGAACAAATGTACAAACTATAACAGACAGAGAGCCCCAGATAGGGCCCCTATGGCAGAAGCCACATTATTTCTGTAATCTAACCTAGGAAGTTACATGGCATAACTTCAGCCATGTGATATCCACTAAATCCAGCTCACACTGAAAGTGAGGGGATTACATAAAGATGTGAACACCAGGAGGTGGGATTATTAAGGGTCATCCTGGAGGCTGTCTATCATGAGGATTAAATCAGACTGAAACTGGAATTTCTTAGGCCCTCAGAAGGGTTCTGATTGGCTCTGCTGGTGTTCAGTGCCTATTCCTGAAGCAATTGACTGTGTCCATGGGTCAGAGTCACATTTTAAAATAGACCTGCTGAGAACCCAATTCTGAACAGAGTGGGAATTTTTCAGGGGAAAGAAGCTGAGCTACTCATTCAAGTTATCCGAGGTTCTCATTGGCCCCTACACAGACATGCACACATGTGCACATGCATAAACACACACACACACACACATACATACATACATACACATTTATACTTCCTGCTGACCAGGTCAAAGAATATATATTAACGTATAAATAAATACATATACACACATTTATACCCGTGACCACCGTGCCTTTTATCTGTTGTACACGTTAGGATTCTGAAAATACCGTTGTTTGAATTAAGCTTTAAAAACTTTGAAAACTCACATTTGAAAGGACTGAGGTCCAGAAAGAGGCCAGACTTTCCCAGAATCACAGAGCAAGTTAGTGACAGGGCATGGAAGAAGTTATGGGTTGGCAGAAGTCTAGTGTTTTATGATGGTGGCTAGAGATGACGGCTGAGACCTCAGGAGTGATTTTTGAGGAGGAGCTGTGATTCGGGTTTACAAGGAAGAATGAGGAGAGAGAAGTGCTGGAAGAATGAAAACATCGGCCGGGCGCGGTGGCTCATGCCTGTAATCTCAGCACTTTGGGAGGTCGAGGCGGACGGATCACTTGAGGTCAGGAATTCAAGACCAGCCTGGCGGACATGGTGAAACCCCGTCTCTACTAAAAAAACACAAAAATTAGCTGGGCATGGGGGAACGAACCTGTAATCCCAGCTACTCGGGAGGCTGAGGCAGGAGAATTGCTTGAACCCAGGAGGCGGAGGTTGCAGTGAGACAAGATCACACCATTCCAGTCCAGACTAGGCAACGAAAGTGAAACTCCATCTCGAGAAGAAAAAATGAACACATGATTTGGTAGCGGAAAGGACAATAAGATGATGCGAAGACTAGGAAACTAGATCAAAGAAAGGTCTGTTTGAAATGAGTGAAACCTGCATTATTTGTTGGTTGAAGGCATAGAGTGGGAGGAGAAAAAGCAACTGAGGGAGCAGGAGACTTAAGAGAGAGAGTGGACAGAGCTAAGTGCTTGGGGAGAGCTGGGCAGGGTAAGGCCAGGAGTCCATGGGGAAGGATACAGGGCACTTCTTCATCAAAAGGAAAAGAAAAGGAGAAAAGAACGGGGAGGAGCTCTGAAAGATTTTCCTAGTGAGCCACAGGAAGCTGAGGAAGCTCAGAGCAGAGAAGATCCCTGCTGGCAAATCAAAGACAAGCTGTGAACTGGGGAAACTGAGGAAATAGGGTGCAGTTTGAGACGTGGAAATGTGGAGAAGAATTTGCACGACTGCTTTGGGAAGCAATCAGACATTAGAAAACAGGAAATAAAAACTTAGTGATGAGTGGCGAGGGCTCAGCTGAGGTTGGAGGCTAGGACTTTGCAGGGAGCTTACTCTTGTCCCTTTCCCAGAACTTCTCTGACTGTCCTGAAACCAGCAACTCAGTGCAGACCCCTGCCCAGTGCTGTGGGATATGGGGATACCTAGATCTTTTCTGCTGCTTTTGCTTAGATCTGGGGAGGCTGATAAATTTGTTAATGGTGGCCAAATGGAGGATATTATGAAGATGGGGACCAGCTGTTCTTCCTCTCCACCAAAGGAAAAAAATCAGGGCCTGTGGAATATGGAGAGAGGAAGAAGAAATGGAATTCAGTAGAGCAGAAAAATATCGCCCAGCTACATTCAGGAAAACAAACTCCTCATCATAACTTTGTTCTAAAGAACAGCAATTAGGTTATAGGATGACATATTTAATTCTTCAATTGGTTACTTCTGTTATGGGCTTAAAAATAAATGAACTTAAGCTATAGCTTGAGCTATTTAAGCAAATGTCAAGGAACACATTTGTGGGACTGTTAAAAAGCAGTATAGCATAATGGTTATTATTTATTATCATGGCCTTTGGAGCCGTACTGTCTGGGTTTGAATCTTGCCTCTTAAAAATTGCATGGCCCTGGGTGAGTCACAGCCCTTTCATGTTCCATTTACTTCATCTCTAAAATGGTGATGACAATATGCCTAACTTACGGGGTTGCGAAAGGCTCTTAGAACACAACCTGATAAACAATATTCCATAAATATTAGCTATTGGCTGTTATCATTTTTTTAAAAACCAGATTTCTTGGTGAGTTTCATAGAAGTACTTGCTTTCAGAGTAGAGGATTCCAAGAGCCCTCGGTCCTATGGCTTTCAAACTGCTCTTCAGTGCTCAAGAGTGAAAGAGACATGCTTCTGGGGTTCCTTTGGGAGTAAAAAGGGAAAAAAGGCTGCTGTGGCTCTTACCCATTCCCCAGCTTCAGTGGGAAGAATAATGAGCCTAAGAATGAAAATAGCTCTGTTCTATCAATTTCACCTACTTTTCAGTTTTCTGTCTATATCTGGAAAGAAGCTTTCAATATTAAACAAAGAAAACGGAACTAATTTAACACATGAAGAGACTGAAGTCTAGAAGGAGAAATGACTTCCCCAAAGTCAAATGCTGACTTTTCAGCAGAGCGAGATCTAGCACCCAGGCCTCCTGCCTCCCCTTCCGGGACTGCTTCTACTACAGCTTCCTATGGGTTCGGGCCCCACCACAAAATGCCTAGAGACACATGGCCACCACCCAGGCTGCATATCACAATTTCATCATTATGCACCATGCCCCGCTCCAAGGTCTTGATCCCAAAAAGACCTTTCATCATGGAACTGTGGGGAAAGAGAGGAATATCCTAAAGTTTTTCCTAAATGTATGTATATGTGTGTATGTATTCCTAAATGCATGATTGTTTTTCTTTCTCAAACAACCTAGCTTATTCACATTTCCTCTAAAGACTTTTTCTAATTCTCCAGACAATTGGCTATCCCTTCCCAGAGCTTCCTGCGGTGCATCTTCTCAGCATAATGTTTTCATGATCATTTTTTCCTGATGAATAAAATATCCTACTTTCAAGTCAATCATCTTTGACTTCCCAGTGCCAACTTCAGAGAATGGCACATAGCAGGCACTGGGCAGATAATGGAGATGAATACATGTTTTAAATCACCAGCTGATATACTAATGTGAAGAATAATTAGTGTTGCTGTTATTATTACAGTGAAGGAGCATAAGATATAACATTTCCTATTTCAATGAGCCACTTGCTCATTTAGGTTGGCTAAGAACTTTTGCAAAACTTTGTTTCTTTTTGAGAATAAGGTGTGAGTCCAATGTGCTGCATAGGGTTTAGTTTTTATTTGTCACATCAAATGCCTGTAGGGTGGGAGGAGGAGTGCAAAGAGAGTGGAAGAGACTGGTTAAGGGCAAGCACTGTCTGCAAAAAGGTTTCTAGAAGACCCTCTAACCCTGCACACATAAACTGGATACTTTTCTTTCTCAGATACAAGGCCTGTGTATGAGCCCAGAGAAACTTCTTCTTGTAAGCACGCTCCACAGCTGACTGATTAGGGGAGACCTTTTAATGAAGGCATTAATAAAAGAAGCTGCAGCTCCAGAGGGGGCCTATACTAATTAGGATAGTGTCGGCCAGGAGAACGCCCACACAGACAGCTCTGTGTCTTTTCTGCAAGGGTAGGGTGCAAGGAGCTGCCAAGTTTTGCTGCCCCTGATGCCCTCTCTTTCCCACCTTAGGGGCCTGTTTGTTAATATCTATTTCCTACACACTCAACCCCCTGAGAATGTGTATGCCAGCCCCGCCCCAGCCAGGACCTGGGGAGGTGGGACCTTTAAACCATCTGGGACACCTTCCTTCCTGCAGAAAGCATTGCAGTGATGCACATTTCCAAGGAAGACAGAGAGACTGCAGTACTTGGCACTCCCAGCCTCTCGGTTTCCCTTGGCTTGGCAGTGAAACTTCTGACTTCCTCCCTTGGTTCCCTGCCCTTCATTTCATAACCCTCCATACTGACCAACATGATGTCACCTGTATCAGTCAGTGTTCTCCAGAGGAAAAACTATATATATGTAGATGGCCAATATGCATATAATGCTTATGTATATATTCCTTGAAATAAATAATTTATATTTATCATTTATTTATAATCATATATGTATGAGTTATTTCAAGGAACTAGCTGATGTAATTGTGAGGACTGGCAAGTTTAAAATTTGTAAGGCAGGCTAGCAGGGTGGAAATTCAGGCAGGACTGGCTGCTGCAGTCTTGAGGGAGAATTTCTTCTTCTGTGGGAAAATTCGGTTTTTTGCTCCTAAAACCTTTCAACTGATTAGATAAGATCCATCCAGTTGGAGAGTATAATCTCTTCTACTTAGAGTCAACTAATGGTATATGTTATCTATGTCTACACAATACCTTCACAGCAACAACTTAAGTTTGTATTTGATTAAATAACTGAGTACAACAACCTAGCCAAGTTGGTGCATAAAACAACCACACCATTCTTTACCTCATTTGAACTTCCCAATTTCTTTTAGCTAAGCAGAGAAGTTAGCATTATCTACATTCCACAGATTCCAATGCTGAGGCTCTTCTGAGTGGTGATTTGTTCACTTGTACACAGCTAGTAAATGTTATTTCTGGATGTAATAATTAAACCACAGGTTTTGACGGTCTTAAATTCTTAAAGTTAGATCATACCACCTTTCTCACATAAAAGTCATTCATTTATGCATTCAGTAATCATGTTGTAGCCCAATCATGCGCTAGGTACTGATTGAGCAAGAGAGACCTGGGGTTCTGACATTTTGGAGCTGACTCTCTGGTGAGGGAGCCCAACACACTGACATTATACACACACATGTGCACACACACACACACAGCTGCTCACAGCATTTGAAAAGCTTCTTTAAAATGATTGGCAAAGTCTGGGAGAAGTAGGATTGTCATCCATAACAGAGAAGCATGGGACTGAGAAGGCAGCTCAGAATATGCAGCAATTGTTTTTCAAAGAGAGATGAGACAAGCTAAATAAACTCAGTTTCAGCGTGTTAAAGAAGAGTCTGAGATCCATGCCTGTGGTGGAGAGGGTGGTGAATCAGGAGTCAAAAAAGCATATGTTGAATTTTTTCCTTTGGCATGAGCGACTGGTGGGAGCTGGGTTGGAGCCAACATGGGGCAGGCCAAGGCTTCAGCCGGAAGTGGACTGGTGGCACAGGGCGGCCAACCAGGCAGGCCACCCTTGGCTTCTGCTCCTGGGCTCTATGTGCTAAATCTCAGGAGGAAGAATGAATCAAGGATTACCCCTTTGGCTGATGGAGACATTTTGTTCACTTCACAAAATCAGTAAAGTATTTTATGTGGTTTCCAGCAAATGCAAAATACATACAGGCATACATTGTTTTGTTGACTTTGCTTTATTGCACTTGACAAATACTGAGTTTTTTACAAATTGAAGGATTGTGGCAACCTTGCATTCACCAAGTAAGTCCACTGGTGCCAGTTTTCCAACAGCATGTGCTTCCTTCATGTCTCTGTGTCACATTTTGGTAATTCTTGCAATACTTCAAACTTTTTCATTATTATCATATCTGTTATGGTGATCTGTGATCAGTGATCCTTGAAGTTAATATTACAACTGTTTGGAGTATCACAAACCACACCATATAAGATGGCAAACTTAATAGATAAATGTGCGTGTTTTGACTGCTCTATGAATTGGCCATTCCCATGTCTCTCTCCCTCTCCTTGGATTTCCCTGTAACTTGAGACAATTAGATCAATTAACAACCCTACAATGGCCTCCAGGTGTTCAAGTGAAAGGAAGAGTCACACATCTCTCACTTTAAATCAAAAGTTAGAAATGACTAAGCTTAGTGAAGAAAGCATGTCAAAAGCCAAGATAAGCTGAAAGCTAAGCCTCTTGTGTCAAATTGGCCTCTAGCCAAATTCTGAATACAAATAAAAAGCTATTGAAGGGGCCAGGGGTGGTGGCTCACGCCTGTAATCCCAGCACTTTGGGAGGCTGGGGTGGGCGGATCACGAGGTCAGGAGATCGAGACCGTCCTGGCTAACATGGTGAAACCCCGTCTCCGCTAAAAAAAAATACAAAAAAATTAGCCGGGTGTGGTGGCGGATGCCTGTAGTCCCGGTTACTCAGGAGGCTGAGGCAGGAGAATGGCGTGAACCCGGGGGGCAGAGGTTGCAGTGAGCCGAGATCCCACCACTGCACTCCAGCCTGCATGACAGAGCGTGAAGATGTGACTGAATTGTTGCAATTCATAGGTCACATGCTGAGCTATTGGGAGTAGATATTTGACACAGGAATTTTGGAGGAGACACAATTCAACCCATAACAATCAATGTCTCTTAAATCCATTTTACCCTGGGAGGTAGGCAAAGCTAAGATTGTTATTCTCATTTATAAGATGGGTAAAATCATCAAGGCTCAGGACCACTGAGTAAGTGACAGATCTGTCCCTGACCTCACTCCATCCCACACTTAATACTGCAAGTTGTACCTTCAGGCTACATTAGGACACACGGAACCCCACTGATGTCCACGGTGTAGGTTCAGTAAGGGTCAAGCCACAGCCTATGGGCTTGTCAAGAAACTGCTGGCTGAGAGAAAATGACTGAATTAATAAAAGCACCTGACTGTGAAGCACTCCTGGAAGGGATTTTAACCTGAAAAGGAATAAGGAATATTGCCAGGTCTGTATCCCATCAGTCTCCAAATACTAGGAAATGGTGCCAGATAGGGGTTGTGAAAAGTTAACTAGATAATGAAAAGGTTAGCTGTACTCTTGGGGAACATTAACATTTATTTGTTGCCATAACTACATAGAATTATCAGCAAAGTTGGTGTAATCCAAAATAGGATCAAAATATTTGAATGAGATTATCTCAGACCAGAAAACCTTCCAAAATTACCTAGATTTTTCTAAAGGGAACAAGAAATGTTTAGCCTTATCATAAACCCAAATTATGGCATGTCTGGTAGAGAACTGATTTGAGCCATAGCTCAGGCATCCAGAGAGCCCTGGAGAAAGCTTAAGGTTTGCAGTCAGAAAATATGGATTTGAATCTCACCCTTGCTCTATCACTTTCTGGTTGGCTTGAAGACAACATGGGCAGTGGGATGTGCTGGGTCTTTTAGGTCAGCTTTTTTTTAAGCCCTTTTTTTGTTGTTGTTGACTTGCCAGAGATTTTTGTGGCTGTTGCATTACTTTAATAAATCTAGGATTGAACCAGGCAATTGATTGGCAAGTACAAACATCACTTGCCAAAAGGAAAAATTCACATTTCCATAGGGGTTGCTGGCATTTCCAGAGCAGTTTCTAGCATTTCCAGAGTTTTTAATTAGACGATGGTAGGCCCCATAGTCTAATAAAACTTGCTCAGAGTAACCCTCTGGACCACTATCCCTCACGGTGACATACATTGTTCAGGCTACAAAGCTTCTCCTAGGACTTAATCTCACTTGAGCCTCACTTCAATCCTGTCTGTGCACTGGGGAGGACAGAGTTTATTACCAGCCTGGACTGTCATGAAAAGACTAAATTTCACGAAACAGCTCATTGATTTTGGGGCCAGGATTTAAATTTGGACCCCTGGCCTCCTAGTTCACCACTCCACATTGCCTTCTGGCTTAGAATTATCAGTAGAAATTCCATCCCAGAACCCTGTGCAAGAGGCAGAGCTAATCCCCAAGTGGAGGATTAGTTTGTAAGCCTATGTTTACTGAGAACCTGTGCTCAGCCCTGCCATCCTCCTGTCCTACTGCCCTTCACCCCCAGCAAAGTGTCAGAGCCTTCTCCCCCAGGAGAAGGAAACTTAACACTGATTCCCACGTAAGCAACAGCTAGTTTCAATATGTCTTCCTCTTTACCAAAAAGACAGATTTTTCTTTTGCCATTGTATTGAATACAATTGTTTTAAAAATAATACTGAATGGTTAAAGAACATTAACTCACAATTTTATTTAGTACATTTTACTGAGGCCTATCCTATATCAAGTCCTGTGCTTTATTCTGTGGAAACAAAATTAATCAATGACAGACAGTGCTCCCAAGAAGCTCAGAGTCTCATAGGGAAATAAACCATACATGGAGATGGCAGGATGTGAGAGGGGAGACAAGGTGCTGATTGGTTGCACCACCAGCCTTGGAATCTCAGAACCTGAGAAGAACAGCATGGGGAGACCTCTTTTTAATTGTCCTTAGCTGTGGTGTTCATTCTGTAGACTAACTCATCCTACCCAAGCATCTGGAGCTGCCTGTCCAAAAGAATTGTTGGCATGTTAGAAATGCTCTATATCTATGTTGTTCAATATGGTAGCCTTGAATACAGTAATTCAGAAGCTACTGAGCACTTGAAATGTGGCTAGTGCAACTAAATAAATGAGGCTTTAATTTAATCCTATTTTCATGAATTTTAATTATAGCTAGGGGCTACTGTATTGGACAGTGCAGGTCTCTGCAGGCAGGAAAGTGCCTAGCTCTTCATGACCATGTCATTGTTGGGGGTGCAGCTAGACGTGGTTATGGGGAAAGCTCTCTTGATGCTCTGCTGCCCCTCCGGGACATCTGTCATCACCTGCTTCTCCTGGTCTGTATGCCAGGAGGCTTACACATGCAGGGCTGGGTCCTCTGGAGTGTCACTAAACCAAAGTGGTCAGCCAGGCCCTCCCACACCTACATGTGACTACTACTAGCAACACTCCCTTCTCCTTTGAGAGATCAAAGTAATAGAGTCTGGCAAGATGCAGCTTTGGAAAGGTGCCGACCCCCGTGACAGAGAGGCAATGAATTGTCCAAAACACCCTAGGGCCTACCTATCAGGCTGTGTGGCAGTCTGAAGGGCACGTGAACTGGACCTGATGAAATCTCTGATCCAGCCCCAGCTGGGCCATAAGCTCACTCTGTGACCCAGAGCAGGCTGCTCCTCTTGCTGAGCCTCAGTTTTCTTTTCTGCAAAGTGAGAAGTTGGATTTCCTACTTCTTCAACTAGCTGAAAGCTTCTGCAACTATCTATTTATTCCCAGACACAGAAATTTAGAGAGTGAAAAAGGAAGTGTCTAGAGATTTATTTTCTGATGTGAAGCACAGGGTAAAACTAATTTAGCCCCAAGAAAAAAATGGCAATAGTTGAAAATACCTGGTGTTATGGGTGGTAAGCGAGTGCTACTAGTGAACTTAACAGCAAGAAAAATAGCCTGAGAAGATTACAAAGGAGAAGGGGAAACTGACAAGAACAAGGATGAAAAGGAAGTGGAGGACAAAAGGCAGGAGTGGCAAAAGGGTCAAATACATAACAAGAGAATTATCAGTCATGCAAGTCAGTGAAGGGTAAAGAAGACAGGAATCAGACCTCCGTGAACTGGAGAGAGTGACTCAATCAGTGAGGAACAGTACATTTTATCCCTGACGCAAAAAAAAATCCTGACTTCTTTAGTTAGCATCTCAAAGCACAGAGGAGCAAAGCATCTGCAGGAACAACTTCATCCCATTCATTCATTCAGCAAATAGTTATTGAGCACTCCACAACAGGGGCTGTGAATCCTGCCTAAGTATCAGAATCACCTAGGGAGCTTGAAAAATAAAAACCTGATGTCCAGATCCATTCCCAGAGTCTCTATTTGAATTGGTCTGGGGTGGTGCTCTGTGTTGGTGGTCAGCTAAAAGTCCGCAGCTGATTCTAATGTTCAGCCTCAGCTGAGAACCTCCGGTTTCCTGTGTGCCAGGCATTGTGCAAACCAGGACATATAAAGGTAAACAAAACAGACAAGGCCCCTGAACCCACCAGAGGCAGGTATTCTCCAACATAATCAAGACCCAGTGAGGTTTGTGGGGTAATATTTATCTCTATACCACAGATGAAGAAAGTGATACTTAGGTGGTTTATTCCCAAGATCACACAACCCGGAAGTCGTTAGTTGAGGACAGCCTCATCAGGCCAAGTCTCAACATCCAGTGCTCCTTCCCTGACACTATACCACCTCAGAAAACAGGATACAGAGAAAAGGAACCTTCCAGTGATCCCTTCTCTAGTTTTCAGATACCTGAAAGGTTCAACAGGCTCTGGCCACACCTACAATTATCAGACCTTTAAGTACCCATGGGATGCAGAGAATGACTGAAGGCTGGATACCCTGGGACAGACCTATTGTGGATTACAGTAAGAAGACACCTTACTAGAGATACCCAAAAAGGGGAAAGATGCAAATTTACAGATGCCTAATATTTGCCAGGCACTGTGCTAGATGCTAAAGACACAAAGATGAAAGACAGTCCCAGTCCTCAAGGGATATAGAGCCTGGAGGAAACACGTGCAGTATGACTCAATTGTGAATGTTCTAGAGAAGTTGGCAAGCTTTTTCTATAAGGGTTCAACAGACAATACATATTTTCAGCTTTAATGGCTATGTGGTCTCTGTCACAACTACTTGATTCTGCCATTGTAATGCAAAAGCAGCTATAGGCAATACTCAAATGTACGAGCACAGCTATGTTTCAACAACATAGGATTTGTGGAGACTGAAACTCGGATTTCATCTCATTTTTATGTGTCATGCAATACTATTCTTCATTTCATGTTTTCCAATCATTTAAACATGTAAAAAATCATTCTTAGCTTGCAAGCTGTACAAAAAAATAGATGGTGGATTGGATTTAACCCCTGGTTTGTAGTTTGCTAGCTCCTGTTCTGGAGGTGTTGTACCAGGGAGCTGGGGGAAAAAATGGCCACCTGGATCAGCCTTGGGGGATCAAGGGAGGCTTCTCAAAGGAGATGGCACTTTAACTTCTCCCAATTCACCTGGGTGCCCTGCAGACAGCGGTCATTTTCCTAGTTTGAACATGACCTATGAACAGACTCCAGTGAATTCTCTGGATATTCTTTAAAGGAGGAAAAAAAATAAGATTTTAAAAAATGTTTCTCAGATATTTTAATGATCACCAGATGCCCCTTCTGCATTGGAATATAGAGCTGAGAAGTTCTCCTCTGATGTAAGATCCCTACTTTGTTAGAAGTTAGGGAAGACGACAATGGGAAATAACATTTATTGAGCTTGTATATGTTTCTGGATGTGTCAGAGACTTTTTACTTGAGTTTTCTCATTTAATCCTCACAATTGCCCTGCATGTTAATATTATCTCCATTTTAGAGATGATGAAAATGAAGCTTAGAGATATACATATTCTCAAAACCACAAAGTTATTACATGGTAGAGTTGAGGCTTGTATTCAGGCTATTGGATTTTAAGGTACAATTTCCCTTATTATTCTTCCTTTCCTTGTAAAGCAATTATATCTTATGAACAAGGAGGTTTTTAAACAGAATTAAAATAGCACAAAAATTTTTAGCAAAACTAATTACAAATAATGAACCAGGAAAATACCTTGGAAAACTAGCTTCCAATTAAAATGCATCTGGAAAATATCACCCATCAGCCTCACTTGCTCACCTGCCTGGATCAAAGTTTCTTTCAATTAAAGAAAGACAGGGGTTGGTAGGAAGAGCAACAGCTTTTTAGAAAGCCAGTCTTCATGAGGGCTTTGAATATTATTGAAGTCTGAAAGATTTATATTTCTGAGGATAATTCTTATGGGGCAGTTTGAGAATCAAAACCTTTATATATATAAAAGAGTTCTACTACGGTAATAAATAAAATTCACATATTACCTCTTTAATACTCTACGTAAGCTTCTTCTTTTTTTTTTTTTTTTTTTTTTGAGATGGAGTCTCGCTCTGTCACCCAGGCCAGAAGGCCAGAGTGCAGTGGTGTGATCTTGGCTCACTGCAACCCCTGCCTCCCGAGTTCAAGCGATTCTCCTGCCTCAGCCTCCTGAGTAGCTGGGATTACAGGTGGGCACCTCCACGCCTGGCTAAGTTTTTGTATTTTTAGTAGAGATGGGGTTTCACCATATTGGCCAGGCTGGTCTCAAACTCCTGACCTCATGATCTGCCCGCCTCGGCCTCCCAAAGTGCTGGGATTACAGGCGCCCAGCCTGTATGTAAGCCACTACGCCCAGCCTGTATGTAAGCTTCTTATACAGACAGGGTGCAGGTAATGTTGTTTTCAGTTCTGAGACTGGTTTTTGTTTTTTAATTGTCAAGACCAGTCTGCATCATATGTTCCTTTTTCCTAAAATTAGAGCCTCTTGAAACCTGCTAGAAAACTCAGGGAAGAGAAATAAAGCCTAAAATAATGCTAAACCCTAAAAATAAACCCTACAATAAAAATAAACCAAAAAATAAAGCCCCAAACTGGAACTCCAGTCAGCAATTCTGTTGTTTCTCAGTTATACGCAATGGCTCAGGCCTTTGTCAGACCTCAGATTTGTGTAGGAAACATCTTTTACTTACCTCCTTGGTATCCATTTTGAAGTCTTCTGGATACAGCTCTACTCTTCTTTAAGGATTCAGCCCTTCCTCACCTCCAGCCTGAGTGTTTTGGGGTGAAACACACGACCCAAACAGAAGCCAATCATATATGCATCCCCTGCATGCGAATGGGCATGGGTCTTAATTTACCCCACTTTGCTGGTACAGTAATGCTGGGGGGAAAAAAGATACCTCTTTTCTACTTGATTGTTATCTGACAGCCGTATTGCTACTTTATGGAGAAAGTCTGCCTAGGAATGGAGTTAAAATAGGAAAGGGAACAGAGAAATGAAGAAAAATATTTTTGTGACATTCGTGAGCCTTGGATCAAATCATATTTGCTAGATAAGTCAATAAATTCTATTTTTGCCTAAATTTGATTTTTCTGATTTTCTGTTGCTTATGACCAAAAGCATCCTAACGGAAACTGTAATTATCCCCCTCTAATCTAGTCCCAGTAACAAAGTCACTGTCTTGATCCCTGTCCCATGTCTCTGACCTCATCACTCAGAGAGTGTCCTGGTCCCCCCTTCTGTTGCTGAGAGGCCTTACCTTGTGACCGACCTCACCTCATCCCTACCCTGGAGACTGGACATTCACTAGTACCTGCTCCAGACTAAAGATTGAAAAAGACCACCTTTTCCCCTTTTTGTTTTACATTTATTACATGAGAAACATATTAATAATAGAACATTTATTTAATACATGACAGGCTGGAGAAAAATATTTATTATTTATAATCTTTCTTGATATGAAAAGTATAGATCCAAGTAGCTGGAGGATCTTTTGTTTACTGAGGGTAGACAAAATCCTTCATCCTCACTTTAATGGCCTTAGACCTATTTAAAGTTGATATTAATGAGTGGGAAAGGATTGGCAATCAGGGAATTGCTCAAAGAAGAGGAGAGTTTAAGAGGCCCCAGAGAATAATTGCTCCAGGGAGGCAGGAGGTGATGGCCAGGAGGCTGCGTGTGAGAAGGTGCAAAGCTGTGACGTAGAAACAGGTATGGAAAAAGCATCCTCTCACGGGAGGATTTGAGATGAGGGCCTGTGCACTGTGAAACATCAGTCTTCTTCTCTGCCTTCTCTGTGAATTCTACAATATTCTACATTGCTCATTATTCCTTAAGAATGAAGTCAGTTTGGAGGGAGCTTAAAGAAAGAGAACAGGGAAACAGGAACGAGCAGCAAGCATACATTTACATATATCAGGCATTTTGGCTTAAAAGGACTTGGGATGCAGACGCTGGTGGGTAGAGGAATGGATAATCCCCTTTACAGTAATTTTGCTTATATCGCAGCTGAAATGAAGCCACAATGTTGACAGCAAGTGGAGTCTGGCAACCCCAAGTTTCCAAAGTGCACATCTGCGCTGGGGCCTGGAGATTTCTGGAAGGGAATCAGTCTGTGTCCTTTTTGCAGGTCTGTGTCCTTGTACGTATTTGCATCTACTAATTTACATATTAAACTTATAAAATTGTCATTAAATCTACTCCTACCATATAATATTCAATAGCTTCATAATATCCATTATAGAGCCGCACAAAAATTTATTTAAGCAATATATATTGCTTGGCATTATCACTGTTTATTTGACTTATTGAAGTAAACCACACCGAGATGTTGTAGATAGGTTCTTGTACATTTTCCTGATGAAAAATTTCTAAGAGTAAAATCTATGGGTCACAGCAATCACGTTACTGGGTATATATTCAGAAGACTGTAAATCATTTTACCATAAAGAAACATGCATATGAATGTTCATTGCAGTGCTATTCACAATGGCAAAGACATGGAATCAGCCTAAATGCCCATCAATGAGACTGGATAAAGAAAATGTGGTACATATATGCCATGAAATATTATGCAGCCATAAAAATCAACCAGATCATGGCTTTTGCAGGAACATGGATGGAGCTGGAGACTATTATCCTTAGCAAACTAATGCAGGAATAGAAAACCAAATGCCACATGCTCTCACGTATAAGTGGGAGCCAAAGGATGAGAACTCATGGACACAAAGAGGGAAACAGCAGACGCGGGGCCTACTGGAGGGTGGAGGGTGGAGGGAGGGATAGGATCAGGAAAAATAATGACTTGGTACTAGGCTTAGTATCTGGGTGATGAAATAATCTGTGCAACAAACAGATTATTTTTGTTTACAAAAATAATGTCACAAGTTTACCTATGTGACAAACCTGCGCATGTATCCTCAAACCTAAAATAAAAGTTTAAAAAAAAAAAAAACCCAACAACTATGGGTCAGTAAAAATGAGTCTTATGTGTTAAGGCAATCTATTCTGTGTGTCTATTTTCACTTTGTAGTTATACGAGATATATATATATACACACACACACACACACACATACATACACACATATATATATATACCACATTAAATATGCATATATTATGTGTTATATGTATAATATAATACATATATTACAGGGGAAATTATGTGTGTGTATATGTGTGTGTGTATATATATACGTGTGTGTGTGTATATATATATATATATGTATATATGAAAAGCATAGGTCCAGGTAACTGGAGGATCTTTTGTCTACGGAGGGTAGACAAAATCCTTCATCCTCACTATAATGTTCTTAGACCTATTTAAAGTTGCTATTAATAAGTGGGAAAGAATTGGCAAACAGGGAATTGCTCTAAGAAGAGGAGAGATTAATAGACCCCAGAGAATAATTGCTCCAGGGAGGCAGGAGATGGCGGCCAGGAGGCTGCGTGGGAGAAGGTGCAAAGCTGTGATGTAGAAACGGGTATGGACAAAGCATTCTCTCACAGAAGGAGCTATATGTATGTGTGCATATAATACATATAATACACACACACATATACACACATATAATTTCCCCTATAAGCAAGGACTTGACAGTTGTTTGTAAAGTTAAAGGCCATAATTGAGTCAAAGGCTGCTTACACTGTACATTTCCTCTGAGGACAACCTCACATCCAGGGTACAAGGGCCCCCATTTTCCCACAGAAGGTCCCCCTGCAGATTAGAAAGAGTGCTCAGACTAAAGTAACTTTCTTCACCAGGAGCCTCAAAGATGAGAAAATGATATTGGAACCCCAGGATCCTGGTACAAATTCCATAAAACACCTTTATTCTCTCGCTTCTTCAAACTCCGCTATATAAAGATCCATTGACTCCACTCTGCATACAGAAAAAGAACTCAAATTTGAATCACATCCAAAGTCTTCAAAGTAATAAAGGATAAGAATGGAAAATCACCTTTTCGTAAGCCCCAGTATAATAATTGATGCAGTTGAGGATAGTCAAAGAAAGCTGAAACAGTGAAGTAAAAAGCTGTGGGGAACAGGATATTCTCATGGTGGCAAAATATCACCACACAAATTACAAATTTAAATGGGAAAATAAATGATTGCAAGGGAGAGATTTGATGGTCAGCACGTTCACCAATGATCAAACTTTACATCACTGGCAGTGGGGTAGGCTGGCATCAGTGGCTGTCTATGTACTGCAGTGCAAAATTCACAAGATTCTCTGTGATGTCTTCTTGTCCCAAAGGATTTCATCTGGATGTAATCTAGCCCTTGAGACACACTTCCAGTTTAGAGAAAATATGAGAGACAGCAAAACGAGTTAAATGATACTGTGAAGAGGTAATCAGAAAAGTCATGAATATAGGATGTTTTATAGGACAACCATCTGTACTATTAAAAAATTCAATCTCATTTAAAAAAATTGTGGGAGAATTCCTTTAGCGTCTAGACTAAAAGAAAGTAAAGAGACGTAACATAACAACTAAATTCAATGTATGAGGCTTGCCTCAGATCTGGTTGGGAAGAGAAAGAAAAGAAAAGAGAAACAGCTAAAAAGACATTATCAGGGTAATTAGGAACACTTAAGTATTAATACTGGGCAATATTATGAAATTATTATTTATTTTCTTGGAGGTGACAACAGTATCATAAAGTGAATTTTTTTTATTCTTAGAAGATGAATGTCGATGTATTTATATGCGAGGTGTCAATGCCAAAAACTTATTCTGAAATGGTACAGAAAAAAGTATACATACAAAGAGAGAGAGAGAAGATATATGAAAAAATGTTAAAATTGTTGAATCTCATTGAAGGGTATATAGGTGACTTTATAATATTATGTTAACTTTTTTATGGAAGAAATGTCTTAAGCGTACCATTTCCACAGTATATCTAATTTCTGAATACAATGTGTGTGTGTGTCTGTGTGTACACCTGTGCTTCAGAAAGCCCTAAGTACTGGCAATTCTTTGTACTTCCTTGCATAGGCCATGCAGAATGTCCTCCCCCATTTCATCGGTTTTATTTTCTTCTTTTTCTAACTTCTTAAGAAATAGTCTTTGTGCATCAACTTTAAGATAAAACTTTCTTCTTTGGCGATATAAATGTTAAGGCCAAAATTTCCCTTCTAAGTTCTGTTTTAGTTTCATCTAAAAAGTTTTGACACATTTTTGTTCAGTCAATATTACATACTTTCTAAGTTTGTTTTGATATTGTATTTGATCCATGAATTATGTGTGTTCTTTTATTTTTAAATGTATTTTAAGCATGGATTTTTAATTATCTTGGGTAGTTAATTTCTGATGTGCTACGGTCAAGGGACACGGCCTGATTTTTATATTTGTTGAAACCTGGTTTGTGGAGGAGCAGATGGTCAACTCTTGTAAAAATTTTATATGTGCTTGAAACAGTAGGTTTTCTAAAATTTGGAGATACAGAGCTCTATCTATGCATCTCCATTAGCTCAAGTTTGATAATTGTGTTATTCATATTCTCGATATTTTCACTAAGCTTTATCTACTTGATTTATGAAATCTGAGGGAGGAGTGTGAAAATCTTTCAGCACGACTGTGGTTTTGACTCTTTCTTCTTATAATTTGGATTATTTTTCCTCATGTATTTTGAGGACATATTTTAGGTGCATGAGAGGTACAGGGTCAAGATCATCAAAAAAAGAAAGGCTGAGAAAGTCTCAAGAAGCCACAGGGTAGAAGAACCTAAGGAGATATGATGACTAAATGTGATGTGATGTTTTGGATGAGATCCTGGGAGAGAAAAAGGACATTAGGTAAATTCCAAGGAAATTTGAGTAAAATATGGACTTCAGTTAATAATAACTTGTTAATGTTGTTTCATTAGTGGTGGTAAATGCATAATACTACTGTAAGATATTAACAATAGGACAAACTGAGTATAGGGCATACAAGAATCCTCTATTCTATCTTAGCAACTTTTCTGTAAATGAAAAACTATTCTACAATAAAAAGTTTATTTAAAAACAGAAGTTTTTAAATAAGCTGGGCATGGTGGCTCACACCTGTAATCCAAGCACTTTGGGAGGCCAAGGTGGGTGGATTACTTGAGGTCAGGAGTTCGAGATCATCCTGGCCAACATGGTGAAACCCTGTCTCTACTAAAAATAGAAAAAAATTAGCTGGGCGTGGTGGTACACAGCTGTAATCCCAGCTACTTAGGAGGCTGAGGCAGGAGAATCGCTTGAACCCCAGGAGGCAGAGGTTACAGTGAGCTGAGATGGTGCCATTGCACTCCAGCCTGGGTGACAGAGTGATACTTCATCTCAAAAAAAAAAAAAAAGAAAGAAAGAAAAAAAAAAAAAAACAGAAGTTGTACAGAGTTAGTTATACCTCCCAGAGGCAAATGAAAAATTCGAATCCAGGACTCCCAATATTTTCACAGACAAAACCCTACAGAAGATGATCTTAAAACCTAAAATTATGAAAACACAAGGAAATTAACCACCTTGAAAGAGAGAGACAGAGCGAGATTATAGATACAAAAGGCAGAAAATTAAATACTCTCAAGGACTTGACATAATAGAACTATCTGCTACAGACTATAAAAATTATTATATTTTAAAATAATTAAAAACAGAAAAATAACTAGACATAGTGGCTGCACTGTACATTGTGTTCATTCATGAAAACAATTATGGGGCTAAATAAAAAGACAATAGAAATTATTTTCTTCTTTTTGTTTAAACTTTTATTTTAGGTTCAGGGGTACATGTACAGGTTTATTATATAGGTATTCATGTCATGGGGTTTGTTGTGCAGATTATTTCATCACTCAGATACTAAGTCTAGTACCCAATAGCTATTTTTTCTGATTCTCTCCCTCCTCCAACCCTCCACCCACCAGTATCCCCCAGTGTCTGTTGCTCCCCTCTTTGTGTCCATATGTTCTCATCATTTATCATCCACTTATAAGTGAGAACATGCATTATTTGATTTTCTGTTCCTGCATTAGTTTGCTAAAGATAATGGCCTCCAGCTCCATTCATGTTCCTGCAAATGACATGATCTTGTTCCTTTTTAAGGCTGCATAGTATTCCATGGTGTGTACGTACCACGTTTTCTTCATCTGGTCTGCCATTGATGGTTGTTTAGGTGGATTCCATGTGTTTGCTATTATGAATAGTGCTCCAGTGAACACATGCCTGCATGTGTCATTATATCAGAATAACTTTTATTCCTCTGGGTATATACCCAGTAATGGGATTGCTGGGTTGAATGGTAGTTCTGTTTTCAGTTCTTTGAGGAATTGCCACACTGCTTTCCACAATGGCTGAACTAATTTACATTCCCACCAACAGTGTATAAGCAAACGCTTTTCTCTCTAATCTTGCCAGCACCTGTTATTTTTTGACTTTTTGATAACAGCCATTCTTACCGGTGTGAGGTGATCTCATTGTGGTTTTGGTTTGCATTGCTCTAATGATCAGTGATTTTGAGCTTTTTTTCTTATGATTGTTGGCTGCACGTATATCTTCTTTTGAAGTGTCTGTTCATCTCCTTTGCCCACTTTTTAATGGAGTTGTTTGTTTTTTTACTTGAAAATTTAAGTTTCTAATAGATGCTGGATATTACATCTTTGGCAGATGCATAGTTTGCAAAAGTTTTCTCCCATTTTGTAAGCTGTCTGTTTAGTCTGTTGATGGTTTCTTTTGCTGTGCAGAAGCTCTTTAGATCAATTAGACTCCATTTGTTAATTTTTTGCTTTTGTTGCTGTAGCTTTTAGCATCTTTGTCATGAAATGATGAAGTCTTACATTTTGCTTAGGTTGTCTTCCAGGAATTTTACACTTTTTAGGTTTCATCTTTAAGTATTTAATCTATCTTTAGTTGATTTTGGTATATGGTGTAAGGAATGTGTCCAGTTTCAATCTTCTGCATATGGCTATCCAATTACTCCAGCACCATTTATTGCATAGGGACTCTTTTCCCCATTGCTTGTTTTGGTCAGCTTTGTTGAAGATCAGATGGTTGTAGTTGTGCAGCTTTATTTCCGGGCTGTCTATTCTGTTCCATTGGTCTATGTGTCTGTTTTTGCAACAGTACCATGCTGTTTGGTTATGTAGCCCTGTAGTAGTATAGTTGGAAATTGGGAACATGATGCCCACAGCTTTGTTCTTTTTGGTTGGGACTGTTTTGGCTATTCTGGCTCTTTTTTGGTTCTTTGTGAACCTTAAAGTCAATTTTTCTAGTTCTGTGAAGAATGTCATAGGTAGTTTAACAGGAATAGCATTAACTCTATAAATTGCTTTGGGCAGTATGACCATTTTAATGATATTGATTCTTCCTACCCATGAGCATCGAATGTTTCTCCATTTGTTTATGTCATCTTTCATTTCTTTGAGCAGAGTTTTGTAATCTCATTGTAGAGATTTTTCCCTCCCTGGTTAGCTGTATTTCTAGGTATTTTATTCTTTTTGTGGTAATTGTGAATGGGATTGTGTTCCTTATTTGGCTCTCAGCCTTGTTGTTTTTGGTGTATGTATTAGTCCATTTTCATGTTGCTGATAAAGACATACCTGAGACAGGGCAATTTACAAAAGATAGAGGTTTATTGGACTTACAGTTCCACATGGCTGGGGAGGCCTCACAATCATGGTGGAAGGCAAGGAGGAGCAAGTCACATCTTATGTGAATGGTAGCAGGCAAAGAGAGCTTGTGCAGAAAACTCCCATTTCTAAAACCATCAGATCTCGTGAGACCCATTCACTATCAGGAGAACAGCACAGGAAAGACCTGCCCTCATGATTCAATCATCTCCCACTGGGTCCCTCCCACAACACGTGGGAATTATGCGAGCTACAAGATGAGATTTGGATGGGGACACAGAACCAAGCCATATCAGAGTATAGGAATGCTAGTGATTTTTGTATATTAATTTTGTATCCTGAAATTTTGCTGAAGTTGTTTATTAGCTGAAATAACATTTGGGCTGAGACTATGGGGTTTTCTAGATACAGAATCATGTCATCTGTAAATAGGGATAGTTTGACTTCCTCTCTTTCTATTTGGATGCTCTTTTTTTCTTTATCTTGCCTGATTGCTCTGGCCAGAACTTCCAATACTATATTGAATAGGAATGATGAAAGAGGGCATCCTTGTCTTGTGCTGGTTTTCAAAAGAAATGCTTCCAGCATTTGCCCATTTAGGATGACGTTGACCATGGGTTTATCATAAATGTCTCTTGTTATTTTGAGGTATGTTCCTTCGATGCGTACTTTATTGAGAGTTTTTAACATAAAGGGATGTTGAATTTTACCAAAAGCCTTTTCTGCATCTATTGAGATGATCATGTGGATTTTGTCTTTAGTTCTGTTTATGTGATGAATCACATTATTTATTTGCATATGTTGAACCAACCTTGCATCCCAGGGATAAAGCCTACTCGATGCAATGGATTAGCTTTTTATGTTACTGGATTCTGTTTACAAGTATTTTGTTGAGGATTTTTGCATCAATATTCATCAAGGATATTGGCCTAGTGTTTCCTTTTTTATTGTATCTCTGCCAGGTTTTGGTATCAGGAGGATGCTAGTCTCATAGAATGAGTTGGGGAAGAGTCTCTCCTTCTAAGTTTTTTGGAATAGTTTCAGTAGAAATGGTACCAGCTCTTCTTTGTTCATCTGGTAGAATTTGGCAGTGAATTAGTCTGGTCCCGGGCTTTTTTTGGTTGGTAGGCTATTTATTACTGATTCAATTTCAGGGCTTGTTATTGGTCTGTCTAGGGAATCAATTTCTTCCTGGTTCAGTCTTAGGAGGGTGCATGTGTCCAGGAATTTACCCATCTCTCCTAGGTTTCCTGGTTTGTGTGTGTACAAGTGTTCATAGTAGTCTCTGATGTTATTTGTGGTTTTTTAGGGTCAGTTGTAATATCCTTTTTGTCATTTTAATTGTGTTTATTTGGACCTTTTCTCTTTTCTTCTTTTTTAGTCTAGCTAGTTGCCTACTTACTAATTTCTTTAAAAAACCAACTCCTGGATGTGTTTATTTTTTTGAATGGTTTTTCATGTCTTAATCTCCTTCAGTTGAGCTCTGATTTTGGTTATTTCTTGTCTAATGCTAACTCTGGTGTTGGTTTGCTCTTGCTTCTCTAGTTCTTTTAGTTGTGATGTTAGGTTGTTAATTTGAGATCTTTCTAAACTTTTTGATGTGGGTGTTTTGTGCTATAAACTTCCCTCTTAACACTGACTTAGCTGTGACCTAGAGATTCTGATATGTTGTATCTTTGTTCTCATTAGTTTCAAAGAACTTCCTGATTTTTGCCTTAATTTCATTATTTACCCAAAAGTCATTCAGGAGCAGGTTGTTTAATGTTCATGTAATTGCATGGTTTTGAGCAATTTTTTAAAGTCTTGATTTCTATTTTTATTGCATTGTGTCCGAGAGTGTGTTAGGTGTCATTTAGTTTCTTTTGCACTTGCTGAGGATTGTTTTATGTCCGGTTGTGTGGTCAATTTTAGAGTATGTTCCCTGTGCAAATGAGAAGAATGTATATTATGTTGTTTTTGGATGGAGAGTTTTGTAGACCTCTACCAGCTCCACTGAGTCCAATGTTGAGCTCACATCCTGAGTATCTTTACTAATCTTCTGCCTCAATCATCTGACTAATACTGTCAATGGAGTGTTGAAGTTTTTCACTATTAGTGTCTGGGACTGTAAGTCTCTTTGTAGATCTTTATAACTTCTCCTTCTAACAGACACATAGACAGTCATACTCAGGAGAATTTTTCTCTTGGTGCTATAAAAAGCCACACACCTTTCCCTAATAGGGAGTGATGTAAGATCTGAGGTGTATGATCTTAAATACTACCTTTAGAAGTATATATTGCAAGGCCTACAAAGTGCAAAAATTCAGATAGTTTTAATTAAAAATGTAAGAGAGCATCAGTACTGAATGATCATACATACCTGGGGAAATAGAAATCACAGAAGCTAAAGTCTCCCAACTATAGAACTATTGTTTTCATTGTATATTTCCTACAAGGGGGGAATTTAGTTTGCACAAAATCACTAATATTTGACTGCAGTCTGAGTAAATGATTTTGCAAACTCAAAACTCTAACATGTGAAAGGGTGAATTGTAGTTCTACTTTGCTTTATAGTGTACCTAAAATTCCAGTTCCATAATCTCTGGGTCCTACAAGTGCCTGCTCACTTATAGAAAATGACAGCTGATATACAGACTGAAATCCCTTCTCACATGCTCTTTTGAGTTTCTTGTCTGCATCACAAGTCAAATCAGGTAAAGACAAAATGAACAGAAGACCCTTTCTTAACAAAGGGGCAAAAAAGCAAAAGGAAGAAATCACCCTTTTAATGAACAAATTCTCCCTGGATTCCTCTGCATATTCAGTTGTAGTCTATGCAGCTATGACTCAATTAAATGATATCAACTGCCCCAAGTCAAGAATGATTTTATTTTCCCTCCTTTGTCTAAAATATAAGCTACCCACATGGGAGCCAGTTAGTCATCATCATTGTAAAAGGTCAAAGAAATATGCTGCAGTCTGATTAAATTCAAATGCTCAGGATGTATCTCCCAGCCAGAAGAGCATCTTTGTTCCTATTAGAATTTTGTTGCAGAGAATGTTATCACATTTATCACCCTTCACCAGTTTTCTTAGGTAAGTGTTAGAGGCCATTTTCATTTTCTTACAAAAATTAAAGAGCAAGGAGTTTGTTCAGGCAAATAAGACAGCAAGGAAAAGCAAACAGAAACCAGATCTTCTGACCCTCTACCTAGACCATAAGAAACTTCTTCTAGAGGTATCTTGGATTCAGTAAAATAATGAAAGTTGGCAAATGCATCCCACATAAGAGGCAGTTAGAAATCTGTACTTTTTCACTCCCTCCACAACAAATCCTTCAGAAATTTGGACCACAGAAGCTCCAAAATACTCATCAGTTTCATCCTTCATTCATCTCTGCTACTACCTCCATATTCCAAACTTGCTATTACCCTATGTTGGATCATAACAAAGGCCTCCTAAGTACCATCCCTGCCTCTCCTGGCCCTCTTCCATCCACTCTTGTCATAACAAGCAGAGTAGAGTTAACAACAACAACAACAACTGAAAGGAGAGTCACTCTCCTGCTTCAAACCTCCAACTGCTTCCCATTGCATGTGAAATAAAAGTAAAACTCCTTATCATGGCCTTCAAGATACTGTGTTATCTAATTCCCTGACACCATGTCTGCTCTCAACCCCATCACACCCTCCTCTCACAACTTTTTAACCACACTTGCCTTGTCTCTGTCTCACAGTCAAGCCCATTACTATGTAAGGGCATTTGCATGAGCCAATCCCTGAACCTGAAAAGTTCTTACCCAAGATCCCAAAACGGCTGCCCGCCTTTAGTCACTGAGGTCTCAGTTTAAATGCCACTTCCTCAAAGGGCACGTGTCTAACTTCACATTCTAAATAGCAGCCAGCCATTCCATTTCTCACTACCTTGTCTTATTTTACTTTTACCACTTAGCGCTACTTGATTTTAAAAATCTGTTTATTGTCTATCCCCAGTCTGTCCTTGTTGGAATCTGAGGACCACGCAAGCAGAAGACTTGCCTGTCCTGCTCATTGGTATATCCCCAAAACCTGGTATAAGGTTTAACACAGTGTTTTTGTTTATACTTTAAGTTCTGGGATGCATGTGCAGAATGTGCAGGTTTGTTACATAGGCACACATGTGCCATGGTGGTTTGTTGCATCTATCAACCCGTCACCTAGGTTTTAAGCCCCGCATGCATTAGGTATTTGTCTTGATGCTTTCCCTCTCCTCATCCCCCACCTTCTGACAGGCCCTGGTGTGTGTTGTTCCCTTCCCTGTGTCCATGTGGTCTCATTGTTCAACTCCCACTTATGAGTGAGAACATGCAGTGTTTGGTTTTCTGTTCCTGTATTAGTTTGCTGAGGATAATGGCTTCCAGCTTCATCCATGTCCCTGCAAAGGGCATGATCTTGTTCCTTTTTATGGCTACATAGTATTCCATGGTGTGTATGTACCACATTTTCTTTATCCAGTATATCATTGATGGGCATTTGGGTTGGTTCCATGTCTTTGCTATTGTAAATAGTGCTGCAATAAACATAGGTGTACATGTGTCTTTGTAGTAGAATGATTTATACTCCTTTGGGTATATACCCAGTAATGGGATTGTTGGGTCAAATGGTATTTCTGAAAAAGAATCACGGGTACTCCAGTTCCCTTTCTTACTACAGACTACTAGGGAGTTAGTCGTGCCTCACAACACTGGAGACCTGAGGTATTTCTGTGATGTTGAACTTTTTTTCATATGTTTCTTGGTAGCATAGATGTCTTCTTTTGAGAAGTGTCTGTTCATGTCCTTTGCCCACTTTTTGATGGGGTTTTTTGTTTCATTCTTGTAAATTTGTTTAAGTTCCTTGTAGATTCTGGATATTGGACCTTTGTCAGATGGTTAGATTGCAGAAATTTTCTCCCATTCTGTAGGTTGCCTGTTCACTCTGATGATAGTTTCATTGACTGTGCAGAAGCTCTTTAGTTTAATTCCAATTTGTCAATGTTAGTTTTTGTTGCAAGTGCTTTTGGCATTTTTGTCATGAAATCTTTGCCCATACCTATGTCCTGAATGGTATTGCCTAGGTTTTCTTCTAGGGTTTTTATGGTTTTGATTTTACATTTAAGTCTTTAATCCACCTTGAGTTAATTTTTGTATAAGGTGTAAGGAAGGGGTCCAGTTTCAGTTTTCTGCATATGGCTAGTCAGTTCTCCCAGCACCATTTATTAAACAAGGAATCATTTGATCTTTGCTTGTTTTTGTCAGGTTTGTCAAAGGTCAGACGGTTGTAGATGAACATATTGTTTTTTGACTAAGCTATTGATTTTTTTAAAAATTGATGGATACTATTGTTTTAGAGGTAAAAATTGGCTGGATATGCAGAATAGTCATTCTTTGCTTATTACAATTGTATTAGTTTGTTCTCACACTGTTATAAAGAATACCACCGAGACTGGGTAATTTATAAAAGAAAGAAGTTTACTCGACTCACAGTTCTGCATGACTGGGGAGGTCTCAGGGAACTTACAATGACGGTGGAAAGCAAAGCAGGCATGACTTACATGGCAGCAGGTGAGAGAGAGAATGCGTGTGTCAAACACTTATAAATCCATCAGATCTCATGAGAACTCACTCACTATCACAAGAATGGCATGGGGGAAACTGCCCCCATGATCCAATCACCTCCCACCAGGTCCTGCCCTCAACACCTGGGGATTACAGGGATTACAATTCAAGATGAGGTTAGGGTGCGGACACAGAGCCAAACCATATCAAGAATAGAATATATTAACTTTGGGAGGCCGAGGTGGGTGGATCATGAGGTCAGGAGATCCAGACCATCCTGGCTAACACAGTGAAACCCTGTCTCTACTAAAAATACAAAAAATTAGCCAGGCATGGTGGTAGGCGCTTGTAGTCCCAGCTACTCGGGAGGCTGAGGCAGGAGAATGGCGTGAACCCAGGAGGCAGAGCTTGTGGTAAGCCGAGATAGCGCCACTGCACTCCAGCCTGGGCGACAGAGCAAGACTCCACCTCAAAAAAAAAAAAAAAAAAAAAAGAAAGAAAAGAAAAAAAGGAAAAAAAGAAAAAATTAAAATAGTTAAAGGAAATCCTATTTAAGTAATACGAACATCAATTGAGAGCATTCTATTTTACTTTGACTCAAATCCAAAAATAGCAACAAAATATCCACTTGAGAAAGATGGCTAGCTGTCCATTTCAAACATGATCCCTCTTCCTTAGTGTAGGATTAGGTCAGAAACTGCCTACCCAACCAGGCACTACATTTCTCAATCCTTTTCCACTCTCCTTACCTCAAGCTTATAGTTCATTGTGGCCATTTTCAGGAGTTCTAGTCAGTGGAATATTGAGGCAAATAATGTGTGCCACTTCCAGACCTGGCCCATATAAACCCTTTCATGTTGTGCTTTAGCATTTTCTTTTTCATGTCTGACTAGCAGGAATGGAGGTGGTACCCAGGACAATCTTGGGAGCCCTATGTTCAAGATGGCAGATCTTCCATCAGTTGAGGGTCTAAGAATGACAGCATAGAATAAACCATCATGCTGATGTTTTTACCCACTGATACTGTTACCTGAGTGAGAAACCATTCTCTGTTGTATTTGAGCCATTACCCTTATTAGGGTCTATCTGTTACTGCTATTAACTAGTAAGTAACATTAGGTTTCAGATGAAGTAAAAATATCACAAGATCAGGTTCAACTCAATAAAATTCTTCTGTTTGGCTCTTGGGAGACCTCCTTTGGGAGGCCGAGGCAGGTAGATCACCTGAGGTCAGGAGTTCGAGACCAGCCTGACCAACATGGTGAATCCCTGTCTCTACTGAAAATACAAAAATTAGCCAGGTGTGGTAGCACACGCCTATAATCCCAACTACTTGAGAGGCTGAGGCAGGATAATTTCTTGAACCCGGGAGGTGGAGGTTGCAGTGAGCTGAGGTCATGCCACTGCACTCCAGCCTGGACAACAAGAACAAAAACTCCATCTAAAAAAAAAAAAATCAACAAATTCCATAATGCTGTGTATTAGTGAGAGTCTTTTTAAATTTGCTGAGCTGAACACTCAGTGGTGCTTTTCAATCTGAAAACTTAAGCTTTCAGTTCTGGAATTATATCCTTCATCATATCCTCTCCTTCCTTTTTTTCTGTTCACTTTCTGGAATCGCCAATATCTTTTACATCTCTATCTTCTTATTCTATTTCTGATAGATTCTTTTGATTTCATCTTCTTCTATTGGGATTTTATTTCAGAAATGATTTTTTTTTTTTTTTAATTCCAAGGCCTCCTTCTGGTTTTTATGCTTCCTATTCTTGTTTCAGCTCTTATCTCTCCGGGGATGTTAATTGTAAGTTATTATATTTTAATTTTCTTCTGCCCTGCATTGTCTCTGTGTCCTCTGAATTCATTATTATTATTGTTTGTTTGTTGTAATCATCTCTTTTACACTCATGTTTGAAGGCTTTTCAGATGCCTGGTATCCTTGGCAACCCATTCATACGTTCATACTTCTTTGTGACTGTGGATGGGACATGCCGACTCTCTATCTTTTCTGTGGAGTTCTCAGGCATCTGGTTAGCTTTTGTTTGGCACTTTATATAAAATCTACAAGTCTTTTTAAATGAATTCCTTTGGTTTCCCCATAGAAAAACACATTCTGCCCTGTGGCCAGAGCTCCAGCTACCAAGGCCCAGGGGGAGGGGCAGGGGGCGGGTGGGATGCGGTTAGAAAGTGAAATGAGACTTCCTTGGTTCAGTATGCAAATCTTTCCCTTCCCCTTCCCCGTGTTTTAGGCCATATATTAGACATCAGCCTTGCACTATGTGTGGTGCCCCAACTCAGGAATGAAATGATTCTGTTTTCCAAGAGAGCAAGCCTCAGGTCTCCAGTGTTGTGAGGCACGGCTAACTCCCTAGTAGTCTGTAGTAAGAAAGGGAACCGGAGTGCTCACGATTCTTTTTCAGGCTTCCAGCTAATCTCCCTGCTTTTGCTCCCAGCACCCTCTCCCTGCTCTTTCTGCCACAGCTGAGATTCGTAAGGGTTCTGTGGGTCACATCAGCTCACTTCTCATAGCACCCCACTTTTGGGGTCCTTGTGTTGGCATGGTCTTTACCCCACTTTCAGACTTTTCAAAATATGTTGGCATCTCTTGCTGTGGATGCCTCTCCTGTGCTCCTTTGTCCTTGGGACAAGGGCATGTCTGTAATCAATTCAAAATTGTTTTTAATAGAGATAGGATCTCACTATGTTGCCAGGCTGGTCTTGAACTATTGGGCTCACGTGATCCTCCTGCCTTGGCCTTCCAAAGTGCTAGGAGGAAATATTTTTCAATATTTTCCAGTATTTTTAAGGGAAATCCAGACTAGTTTTAAGGCAACATTTAAAACTCTCATGCTTTCCAGGGCCCTGCTTTGAAAACTTTTGAAGATATCCAGATTCCTTAGTTGAGGCTATTTCCACAGTGCTCCTGAGTCTCTGTGGAATCAAATGACTCAAGCAGCTTCAAGAATCCCTTGTATAACATGACCTTTAGAAAAGTAGAGAAAATGAAAAGCTTCTCTTGGAATGCAAATCATCAATTGTTTGAAAAATCCAAAGTTTGCAACATCATCTCAGGGTGGCTGCAAACATCAAACTGATAAAAGAGCCTCTAGAGCTCCTTTTCTGACATAGGGAATTCTGTGTTTGTTTTTCTTATTGTCTTGAGGAGTTGCAGGAGAGCTTTTCTGTTTTCTCTTTTCTCTTTTAGTATTTTAAAATTGAATCAGACTTGAAGTGACTCCTCCTTGAGCATGTGCTAAAGCAGCTGTGATGACCGGAAGTCATGGCCAGAAAATCTTCCACAGGAAACAACACACTCACACACACACCTTTAATTATTCAAACTCCCAAAGGTTCTGAAGTTAAACAAGTTCTTCCTCGGGAGAGCAGACTTGACCCTCTTTTCCCTACTCTCTTCCCCAACCTCAACTCCTGCACAAGAACTTCAAGGACGCAGCCATAAATTAGGTTGACATCTAGAAGCCCCCTCCATCTAAAACTGATGGAGAACCACAAAAACTGGGAAGGTTTCCTCCTCTGGGGCTGTGAATTTCTGCTTCTCTCATTAATAAGATAATTTTACTTCCTTGGGCAAAATGGAGCATAGCTGTCTCTTATTCATGACAGAGAAATCATAATATTATTTTAGTTTATCTTCAGCACCCCTCCAATTCTCATTGAGTTATTCTGGGCGCAAACCAGGTTATTTTTGGCATTTCCAATGTACTAAGCTTCATGAAGAAAAGAGGCAGAAAAGCAGAGTATTTAGGATCCCGGTATTAAACACACTTGGATTGAAATCCTGGCTCCCTCACTACATGCCTATGATGTTTAGTAATATCTGAATATTATTGGTTACTTAATTTATAATATTCATAATTATCTATGAAATACATAATAATATAAACTTTCAATAGGACAGTGAGAAGGATTAAATTTAATAAAGCATATGAGGAGCTAAACTTCTGTGGCATATAGTAAATGCTCAATCAATTTAGGTTGTCATGATTGTAATCAGGAAGATAAAATAACGTGTGTGTGTGTGTTTAGTTATGCTAGATAGGTGATTTTTGAGCTGCAGAGATTTTGAACTCTTAAACGAAGGAATACCATCATTCTCTGTGCTGGACAGACTTTCTGATGGCTCCAGCTTAATTTCCATCATAATGTTGTAAGACTTTCTCCTTAGTTTAGCTAAAAATTGGGTCCTTGCCACATGACCATGAAATATTAGGCTCGCAGACTCTTTGAAGGGTGAGAAAAATGGAATTTATTGGGCGAAAAGGAAAAAAACTCAGCAACACGAGATAGGTTCCTGTAAACATGCTCTCACATCAGATTGAATCCCAGCTTCCACCCAGGAAGAGGAGGGGCCAGGCTCCTGCCTACTGCAACCGGCATGAGCTTCCCGAGGCTCCACCCAAATGCACAGTCCTCCCAGTGTGCAGGCAGGTCAGAGGTTCTCCAGGGATCCCTTTACACTTGGCTGTCTCAATAACTCAACCACAACTCCTCTGCCAAGGACAGTTCACACTGCCTCTCAGAACTGAGCTCATGTAATGGCAGCTCATGTCATCTTCAGAGAGCTCAGCTGTTAGAAAATCATTCTGATTGTCAGCTAAAATGTTGTTCTCTATAATTTTCATCTGTTGGTTATGCAGCCTCTTGAAGGTGCATGATGCGAGTCTAATCTCATCTTCACTCCATGGTCCTCCAGGAATTTGAACACAGCTAGTAAGTGCTCCGCGAGCTTTCTTTTGACTGAGGTCACTAAGCTGAACATGTCCATTGCCTTCCATGGCTTGTCTCATGTTTTGTTCCCAGGCCCCTCTCCTCCTGGACACACTTTATCTTCACCATGAGTGGTACCCAGGGCTGAATGCACTGTTGAAGCAGTGCTCTCACCAAGGCAAAGCACAGCTCATCTCTTTCTCAAGGAATTTTAAATCTACCGAGCCCCATGAGTATGCCAAAAAGACCATATGAAAGGAATCCATATGCCAGACAAAGGAAACTAAAACCAAGATCCAGTAAAGTTAAGCCCATTAAAATTCCTTTAAATTGTGCCCAGGACTGGCTATCTTAAAACTGGTTCCTGTGCCTTTATTTATCACAGCATGTGCTGAAAAATTGTGAGGCAGAATGAAGTATTTAGGGTACTAGATTTCCTAGACTATCTTTTCAACTCAATTGTGAGAACCAGTCCCATGATTAAAATCAAATTTGGGTACAAGTTCTGCCTCTGCCATTTAACAAAAACAAATTTTACAGATTGTGTGACCTTGCTTGCCTCCCTGAAAGTTCCTTGAATCTTTAAGGTAGAAGCAGTAATTCCTGCCTCCCATGACTGTGGAGAGAAGCCTGTGGTCAATGCTTGTAGCATCCACACGGGGTCTGCAGCAGGAATTGCTCTGAGGTACTGCCACTACCTGCCTTGAGAACAGCCTCCAGATCACTCTGTTGCAGGGACTCTCTCTGCTCTCCGTTTAAAAAGCAACCTATTGGAAAGTTCAAAAGACTATTGGCAGAATGGACTCTTTGGGTAAAAGAACTGTGAAATGGGGTTAAGGGACCTAGAATTTACTTCCAGCTAGCTCATATGACCTTGGGCAAGTCCCTGTGTGTGCGTGTGTAAACCAGACACAGTCTCAGTTTCCTTAGTTGTAAAACAGGGATCTTGGTTAATTGGAAGATTCTTTCCTAATCTAATGATTTGTGATTCTAATTTACTCTCTCCTCCTCCAGCTTACATCATTGTTTGATATTTCCCAGAATATATGAAAGATGAAAAGTATACTTCAGAAAGCTAAATTTTGCAGTTCCTGGAAGCGTTCATGCTTATGCCTCAAATGGTCATTTAGATTATTTCTTCTTACCCCTTTTGTGACTGGCTGAATTTTGGAGCTATACAGTATGTCAGTATGTGTGCAATTTCTATTTCCTAGGCAGTGGGGAGTTATTCTAAGAAGGATAAAGAGACAGATCAGTAATCACTCAGGCCTCATGCTGAGTGGACCCATGTGCCTTACCTCGAGATTTGCTGAGTGAGAGAGATGCTCTACATAGCTGCCTGGCAGGTGTCCAGGGGCCAAGTCTACTAAGTAGCAAGCTTGCCTTGCAAGATTGCCAAGTTACGACCTCACCGTAATATCCAGAATCCAGGCATCTAGGCAGCGACAAACAATAAATGCAGGAAAAATAAGACCCCAATATTTCTATAACACCAATGAACACTTTTCATTGTGTTCACATTCATTGCAACAATATTGACCCTAATACACAACTCTAGAATTTGTAAAACCATTTTACTCCCAATAGTTTACAATAACAATAACCTTGCAACATAAGTGGGCCATGGGAGGAAAGAGCAGGGGTGATTACTATTTTGTCCTGGTAGAAAAAAAAAATGTTTCTAAGTGAAGATAAAGTACTTTGCAAGGTTTCACAGACAGACAAAAAGAAGTGGCAAAATCAAGACTTGAACTCAAATCGTCTGACTCAAAATCCTTTGTTCAGTCCAATAGACCACATTTCCTCTCACTATCATCAACTTGACTCCCACAGGTGCTAAATGCCGAGAAGGACCAGTGAGAAAGGACAAATAGACACATCACGGTAGAAGTTGGAAACTCCAAGGACGGGGGGCTATGTAGACGTCAGGGTGATGGGGAGGTGGTCCCTAACATAGGAACAAAACTTAGAGTAATATCAGACTTCTTGTCAGCATCTTTTGGGTATTAGAAGACAATGAAAACTTCAAATTTCAGAGGGAATGGGATTTGAACATAGAATTCTATACTCAGTCAAACCATCAGTTCAGACAGTTTTGGATGTGCAAAAACTCAAGAAGTTTACTGCCCTTACACTAATTGAAAATATACTACTTGAGATGTGGTCTTCTACCAAAATAGAACCAAAATTTGAGAAAGAAGATGAAATGGGATACAAGAAGAGGCAGCGGCCGAGAATGGCTGGTGCGTAAGGGAGACTTGGAATCAGGTAAGAGAGAATCCACTAGATAGGACATTTAGAGGGTCTCCTTTACCTGAAATGTGAGTGGCATAGAACTGTTTCTTCTCTATGACTTTATCTACACTTTCTAGTTCTGCATTGAATATTATTTACATAATCATTATATTGTTAATTCTGGATATTACTTTTCTTTTCAAAATAATCCGTGTAGTATATAATCACATAAAATGTATTTACAATGACAGAAGATAATGCAGATGTAACAAATTTAGATCGTATAAAAATAATTACAGAGGAAAGAAAAATTTGTGGGTAGAAGGCTGCATTAGTGTCATTTTCCTTATACTGTTTTGTAACTGTCTAAAGGTGCTAAATCATGAAATAGACCTTAGTTATATTACTTAAATTTGTGAAGACAACCAGTAAAAGATCCAAAAATAATGATCAAGCTAACAAAATTTCAGAGGTGAGGGGGAAATAAAAAGTAGATAGCAATATAAATAAGTAAACTTCTCAGCTCTCATATAATAGCTTCTCTCCAGGAAATAATAGCTTCTCTTGAGAGTTGAGAAATCAAAAAGTAGGAATCCACATATATTATACAAAGTTATAACAATAATTGCTAGTAAAATTAACAAGAAAGAATACTGACACTGGCTGTCTTGGGTAAGAGGGGTTGATGATGAAGTAGAGGATTATTTTACATTTAATTTTTGTTCTTTTGTACTGTTTGAATATTTTAAATTCTATGCATGCATTAACTATATATTTAAACAAAGGAAAATTTATTCTATTTGAATATCTAATAACATGCAGATACAAATCTGGATGATGGTTTGACTATATACTGGCATATACTTAAAATCATACAAAGAAAAGAAAGGGAAGACTTTTTAAAATCAGGTTTGTCTCCTTTATTTTAAAAATGAAATATTATTATCCATGAGAAAGAAAGTAAATAACTTCCTAAGGATGCTTTACAGTGCTGACCATAAAACTCAAATTAATATTCTCTTCAAGAATTCAGTTAAATCATTTTTGTAAGGTCGCCAACATTGTCCCAACTTTGAAACACTGCCACTATCAAAATTTGGGGTTTTTGCACAATTGTACCATCCTACCAACACCTGATCTCAAAAAGAGACCTGAGTTTAATATCCTTCTCTCCCTCTTTCTTCTTTTTGTGGTTTATGAGCCCTTGTATGCAGTAAATACATTGCTTATGAAAGCAGGCAAAGATATTATACCATAAAATGGTATATCATTGCCTGCTTTCATAAGCATTGTATTTACAAGAGTTCATAAACCACAAAGTGTTAGAACAATGTTCTTAATACCATTTTTATGCTTAGTTTGTCTGCCATAGTACAGGGAAGAGCCTACACAAACTTTGGATGGATTTACACAAGCAAACATGTTTTGTTGTCTCTCATGAAGCCTGTCAAAGTGATCTGGGCAGAAATTCGGGGCCCCTTTGACCAACCAGGCCTTTGAATCAGACTGTTTCTGTGACAGGACATGGTCCTCTCAAAGGGCATTTTTTCCACTTGCTCCTTGACCAAGCAGAGGTGCTGAACAGTAACATAGGTATTCCCCAGGCTTAGCTTTTCTTTCTTTTCCTTCCTTCCTTCCTTCCTTCCTTCCTTCCTTCCTTCCTTCCTTCCTTCCTTCCTTCCTTCCTTCTTTTCCTCCATCCATCCTTTTCCTTTCTTCTTTGTTTTGTCTTCTCTTTCTTCTTCTTCTAATAGATCAATCTCAACAGAGAACTTAGCTTCAATATTTTTGTAGCTTTGGCTTTCTCAGCCCACTGCACTACCCCCTTACACCCCTGCACGTGCAATTAACAGGTGTCTCATCAGTCTCCACAGTGCTGTGCACTTTACTATCTCCCTGAGCTTGATCACATGGTTTACTTTGTCTGCACTGTCTTTCCCACCCACAACGCCCATTACCACAAGCTCAAATCCTACCCCACCTTCTAGCCTCAGCTCATGGATCAGCCTCTTTTATGAAATCTTCCTTGATCTTCCCAAACCTAAGAAATTGCTCCCTCCTTGGCTTGCTATAGCTTTTAATCTAGTCCTATTTGTGGCATAAACCTCTATCCCTCATATTAAAGTTATATTTATGAGTGTACCTCAACATTTTACCATTCTGCGGGATCCATGTCTTAGTTGTCTCTCTGCTCTTCTATTGCACAAGAACTGGCACATGTTAAGTGCTCAATAAATATCTACTGATTTCTATTGGTTTTTCAAGGTTTGCAGAGCTAGTAAAGTCAAGACTGGAACCCAGGTTTTTGGCAGCTGCTCCAGTGTCCTCTTCACTACACCACATGGTCTCACACATTTTACCACACATTTAAGCAGCTGATCTGAGCATTTTTAGCTATGACAGAGAATCAAAGGAACAGTCATGACCTGTCCCAGCTTGATATCAATTCAAGCTGACAAGGTAAAGCATAAGGTATGAAAGTGTCCTCGGATGAAGCAAACATTAGGATTTGCCATTTTGATATTTCATACATAACAAAAACATGTCAGACCCCATTAGTCACCTTCAACATCCTTTAAAGAAAGGGCAGAAGATGTTTGGTGAAGTGTCATGGCAGCTTCTTACTTTTTAATCTATTGTCCTCAGGTGAAGGGATAAACTGTTGTCCAAAAGTGGTTTGCACTAAAGAAAACCTTCACAAAGCATTAGGCTTGCCATGTATACTTTCTGAGGTCACCACAAGTCATGTGGTGATTTGAGGTTGAAAACTAAGAGGCTAAATCATTTAATAAACCTGGCTTCCAGGGAACAGATATTTTTTTTTAAAAAAAAGAAGAGCAAAATTTTTTATTTATCATAAATAGTCATTATTTCCCCCAAAAGACTTCTGCACCATTTTTATCCTTTAAAAAATTGAAACCATAATCCCAATCTAAATATTGTTGAGTTTCCTTTCCTGTTTCATGCTGGGCATAAAATAAGCAATAATGCGTCAACCTAAATATATGAACCACTGAAGACAATTTAGCTACATTCATGTTTTTCCTTTGATAACTCAAGTCAAGGTAAACATCTATAGTGACTGTACATTAACGCGAAAGGTTTCCAATCAAACCCTGATTGTCTAAATCTCTAGCATTCCACAATGCCAAAATGAGCTCATATCCTAGTCACCTGTCTTCCTCATTGTACACAACCCACTTACACGAGATCTCTGTGACCCAGTGTAATTCAAGTGCCCTGTTCTTTTTGGCAAATAGAGGCTTGAAAGAACACACTGTCTGAAATACACATTGATTTTCACAGTGTAACAAAAAATATTTTATCTAACACTTCTTAAGAAAAATAAGTCCAGGCACTTGATATGAGAGCAATCCTGGATTTTTGCATAATAAGTAGTATCTAGACACTTACAGTCAAGCCACTCTTCTAGAGGTTCAGAGCACTTTATACTTGAGGGATGAATCCACAGAAATATCCTTTAAATTGCAGCTGCAGGTAAATCATTTGTGGTGTGTTATTCATTTACCTCTCCTCGTTTATTCAACTAAGAGATTTTTTCCCTTCTTTTACATGGAATGTCACTCTCTTTGAAATGAGTATCTCTTTCATAGTGTTACTGCTACAAATAATATAAATGTTCATTAGAAAGCATAAATCATCTCTAACCAAAGATGGGAAGCTAAGTCCCGTCTGGACATTGCAGCGGGTTAAACAGTGTCATCCAAAAAGATATGTCTGAGTCCTAAGCTTCAGCACCTCCCAAAGTGACCTTATTTGAACGTAGGATCTTTGTGGATAAAATTGAGTTAAGAATCTCAGGACGAGATTATCCTAGATTTAGAGTAGGCCATAAATCTAATGATTGGTGGCTTTATAAGAGATTTGAGACACACAGACCCAGAGAGAAATGCAATGTGAAGATGGATACAGAGATTGGAGTGGTGCAATTACAACCCAAGGATGTCAGGGATTACCACAAACACCAGAAGCCAGGAAAGAGGAAAGGAGGCTAATTCATCCTCAGAGCCTCCAGAGGAACAAACTCAGCTGACACCTAATGTCAGACTTCTGGTCTCCAGAACTGTAAGAGAATAAGTTTGTGGTTCTTTTGTATGGCCCAGGAACTAATATGGATACAGTGATGGGTACTTAAATAGAAATGATTGGCTCAGCAGGAAAAGAAACATATATGTGTGTGCATGCAGAAAACTAACCATGCATGTGCTATACAAGATATGAATCAGCTACAGCTATACATAGATGTAGATCAGCTGCAAGTCTTCTTGACATAGGAAGAAGTAAAGAGATTGCTCAGTCACTTCTCCTCCAATCTCTATTGGAGATGTCAATAGGGAAAGGCCAACAAGCTCACCTCCCCAAAGTCTCCTCCGATCCCTCCCCTCGGACCATGGAAAGGGATCTCTTTTGATCTCTGAACTCTCATGGTTCCTCTGTGCTGCCTTCCATTACAGTCAGTTGTGCATACATGTCTGTGTCATATTAAACCAAGCAAGTGGAGGGCAATTCTGTACAGTGGAAAGTGGTTGCATTTGAAATAAGGGTACATAAACTTTCTTTTTACTATGGCCCAGAGTAACGTGCATTCAGGCTTATCTGTAAAGTAGGAATAAAAAGCACCATCAGACATTTCTCACAATCTTTCTGAGTGTTGCAAATAAAATAATTGGAGTGAAAGTGTAGCCAGGAGGAGCATGCAACAGAAAGAGTGTAAACCAGAAAATTCAGTTTACACTAAAAACAAACATAAAGGACCGTTTCTCTTTGCATCCCTCAAAACACAGCTCACCACATAGTTCTGCACATAGGGGGTCTTAGTAAATGTCTGTGCTATCAACAAGGAGTGTGTAAGTGGAGCACAGTCTCTTCAGAAAAGAGTTGGTTACAGATTCTTGAAAACAAACAAATGAGCCAACTAGTTAAATGGATTCTTGCTAATTCCACAAAGGGCATCTTGGGGAACAAAACAACCTAGCACTTCTATTAGCAGTGGGGCTTGGGCAGCCCTGGGCAGGCACATCCCATGCAAATGGAGGGCCATGGTCATAGTCACTGTCAGGGTCATGGTCAGCACGGCCAGGAGTCCAAGAGATCACTTTGACATCTCTGGGATTCAGACTCTAAAAACTGTTAACATCTCACATTTGGCTTTTTCTAATTTTGTAGAATCATAATGAGGCACTTTATTTCTTATTTTTGGATAACTGCTAACTGGATTCTCAGTTAATGTGAAATTTGGGACTTTTTATTTCTCCCGTCAAAGTTCCTACTCTTACTCTATTTCGGGCCCTTGCCAAAGAGTATTATTCGTACAACATTATGATTCAGTTGATTTATGGAACATCTAGATAGTGCTTCTCTAGTTGTCAGGCAAACTTAAGAAATGTCACTGAATAACTAATAAAGCACAGCCTTACAGAGTTTTCTTCAGGAGTTCTTAAGCAGAAATCATGGCCCATAAGGTCTCCATATGGGTCTCAGGAATATTATAACACCCCCCTCCCCAGATTGTTTGTACGTTTGCACATGTAAGTGTATTGTGGGGGAGATCGCTTCCAGCACATCTAGAACAGGCTAAGAACCACTGGATCACTTCGATTTTCTCTTGTAAAATACCTTTACTAATGTGTTTTCCATGTGCCAGGTCTTCTGTAGGTGCTTTACCTATGTTATCTCATTTAATACTCACAACAACCTTCTACCTTAGGTATTTTTATTGTCAGTACTAATGAAACAATTGAGTAACTTGGCTTAGTTTGATTTAATCTAACTTGACCAAGGTTACTTCACTAGCAAGATGGGCGGGATTCCAATTTGCCACAGTCTGAAGAGCGTTTACACACTCCACTGCACAATAGCCATTTTCACTAACATGGTTTAGTTTTGTGTGTTGTTATTTATCACAGGGAACACTCCTTCAGAGCCACTGATTTCTGGATGAAGTTGAAGGTCACCACTATAAGCTGGGTCAGGTTCTGCCTTCTTGTGCTGCCACAGGGCTCAGACACGAGGGTGGTGGGCTGAGCAGGAGAGGAGGGAGGACCTGCTGCTTTGAGGAGCAGGATGGACATGTGGGAGTTGCCTGATTGTGGCTCTGTGAAGCAATGCCAGAACAGAATCTTGCTCCGGTCCCTCTTACAAGTGGGAACTGAGACCCAGGAAGCAAAAATGGCCCTGCCTAAAACATTAATTAGCCCAGAGCACAAAGTAAAGGAACTTGTAAAGACTGGGAGGTGGGACTCCCTGGTTCAAGTCCAGGTTCCGCCTGCTGGGCAACCTCAGGAAAGTCTCCTCATCTGTTCCTCAGTTTCCTCATCTGAAAAATGCGGAGATTGAATTATATTATTTCAGAGTCATCTTCCACTTCATCACAACGAGGTCACTTATTCAAGCTTCCTTTTTCGGCGTATTTTGATCATGTATTGTAAAAGTGCAAAGTATTGGAATGATAAATCAAATCTCATAGTTTTCAAGGTCATCAACAGAGTCTGGGAGGATATTTTTATTTACGAATCATCTCTTTATAAAAAAGGCACATTGAAAGTTAATAGAAGTCATTATTGGTGATATCATCGGCAAAAATAGCAGGACATGATCCAGGGTAGGTAATTTAAGATGATGGATTATCAAAGAGCTTGTCTCTTGTCAGCTCAAAAAGCTTTCTGACTGCTTGCTTTCCGTTTCCAAAGCGTCAAACTCAAATAGCTCTTCACAAAAACAATATAGTTAGAAAAAGTAACATCACTGCTTTATGAAGCCTAGCGCCCACCACCACTCCTTTTCTGGTCTCTCAACTTTATCTCACAGTGCTGTGAAGAAAGGGAGTGGTCATTTATCATATGCCATCACATGTGATAATCTCAACAAACTTAGCAGAATGTTTTTAAGATTCTCATTTTATTGATGAGAAAACTGACACTCAAGAAGTTAAACAGGACAGAGTTAGCAAGTACTGAAATTTGAATTAGAAAAGGTGGCTGTAGCCTCCACATTCACCAGGAACTAAATGGAGTTAAAGTTCAGAGTTTCATCTTCAGATCAAGAATAACCTATTTATTCATTTATTGACCTTTCACAATCCCCAGTGTTATGAGTTAAATTATGTCCCCCAAAATTGTATGTTGAAATCCTAACTCCCAGAACCTTAGAATGTAATGCTAATTGGAGGGAGACCCTTCACGAAGACAATCAAGTTAAAATTAGGTCCTTAGAGTGCACCCTAATCCAATATGACTGGTGTCTTTATAGAAAGGGGAAATTTGAAGATGGAAACAGACATGTGCAGGGAAAACGCCATGTGAAGATGAAAGCAGAGATAAGGGTGATGTTTCTATGAGCCAAGGAACAACAAAGGTTGCCAGCAAGCCACCAAAAGACGGGGGAGAGGCATGGACCAGATTCTCTTTTACAGCCCTCAGAAGGATCCAACTCTGCCGATGTCTGGATTTCCGACTTCCAGCCTCCAGAATTGTGAGACAATACATTTCTGTTGTTCAAGCCACTAAGTTTGTGGTACTTTGTTACAGCAGCCCTAGCAAACTAATACATTCAGTAAGGTGAATATTAGAGGCCAGTAATGGTTTCATGAGTACCACCAGTCACAGCCATGGTGGTCCTTCACATTCAGTGCAAAGCTCTTCCCATCCATGAGAGTTTTTAGCTGCCCCCCACAAAGATGAAATATTAACTTGGTCTCCTCCGTTATCCTAGTAACCAAGTAGCAGAATCAAAATTTAGACCCAAGAACTGTTTCTAGGTTCAGTGTGAATCCCCTGTACAATACTAACTCCCAGGGACACTTACCAGGGCCATGATCCCAAAAATATCAGTATCATGCCCATCTTTTCATCTTTGTAATTTTCAGTTATAACTTGAAGGCTTTTTGGGGCTTTGCACATTCCCTGATGGAGTGTAGCACGGAGAAACTTGAATGCCTGTCTCATTTTTCAGAAGACTTCTCCAACAGAGAAGCATTTTAGGAATGAAAGCTTTAAGTTTTCTCTGCATCTGGCCAAGGAAGATATTAAAGGAGTTAGCCCAAAGCCGCTACTCCCAATGTAATATGCATTTATTGACTTTCTACCATGCTCCTAGTACTGCGCTGGGCTCTTGGAAGATGACGGTGACTAAGACACAGTGCTTATTCTCAATAGCTCATAACCAGGGAGAGGCAGACATGTAAAGAGAGAATTTCCTAGAGGTGCATTTAGCCCAGCCTGATGGTTCAGAGACATCTTCTGGGAAGAGGTGATGGCTGAGCAGAGGACCACCTTTGCTTTTGTAATTCTCCTAAATGTGACACAGGTCCCCTGAAGAACAAAAGCTTCCAGAACACCTCAGAAAATTCATCACCCAACGTGCTGGCTAGAAAAGGAAATAAAATATCTGCCTTCCAAATTTTATAACTTCTTTCCTCCTTCCAAAAATAGTTCTCACTTCTACCTTAATGACAGTGGGAAATTTTTTATGTCTTATAAAAAAGCTAATACTGTTCTATATTCTGGATAGTCTACATTTTTTAGCATTTCCTCCGTGCTAGATACTTTGCTAAGTACTTTTCATATTCGACCTTATTTAATTTCCACTTTATAGATGAGTAAACTTTAAAAGGTTAATTAATTTACCCGTGGTCATAAAAGTGGCAGAGAATGAAAGTTCTCTGCTTAATATCCACCCTACTCTCTTCCTTAGAATAGACTCCAATTTTATTCAGTCAATAAAATACTCAGCTAAAAACTATACTTCCCAGCCTCCCTTATGATTGAAGTAGACATGTAACATAGTCACTTGTAGGGAGCTGGTTCTAAGAAGCTCTTTAAAGGAGTCTGAATAAGATTGCACATGTTACTGTGTTTCTTACCCTTCTCTATGCTTCTTTAAAAAAATTCCATTCATTGTTGGGGTACAGGTGGTATTTGGTTACATGACTAAGTTCTTTAGTGGTGATTTGTGAGATTTTGGTACACCCATCACCTGAGCAGTATACACTGCATCCTATTTGTAGTCTTTTATCCCTGCTCCCCCTTGCATCCTTCCCCCCAAGTCCCCAAAATCCATTGTCCATTGTATCATTCTTATGCCTTTGCATCCTCATAGCTTAGCTTCCACATATCAGTGACAGCGTACAATGTTTGGTTTGCCAATCTTGAGTTACTTCACTTAGAATAATAGTCTCCAGTCTCATCCAGGTCACTGAAAATGCCATATTTTCAGCATATAAACGAGCATATTTTCAGCAAACAGTGACAGTTTGGCTTCCTTTTTACCAATTTGGATGCCCTTTATTTCTTTCTCTTGTCTGATTGCTCTGGCTAGGACTTCCAGTACTATGTTGAAGAGGAGTAGTGAGAGTGGGCTTCCTTGTCCTGTTCCAGTTCTCAGAGGGAATGCTTTCAACTTTTCCGCATTCAGTATTATGTTGGCTTTGGGATTGTCATAGATGGCTTTTATTACATTAAGATATGTCCCTTATATGCCAATTTTGCTGAGAGTTTTAATCATAAAGGATGTTGGATTTTGTCAAATGCTTTTTCCGTATCTATTGAGATGATCATGTGATTTTTGTTTTTAATTCTGTTTATGTGGTGTATCTCATTTATTGACTTGCATTTGTTAAACCTTCCCTGCATCTCTGGTATGAAACCCACTTGATCATGGTGGATTGTCTTTTTGATGTGTTGTTGGATTCGATTAGCTAGTACTTTGTTAAGGATTTTAGCATCTATGTTCATCAGGGATATCAGTCTGTAGTTTTCTTTTTTGGTTATGTCCTTTCCTGGTTTTGGTATTAGCGTGATGCTGGCTTCATCGAATTAATTAGGGAGGGTTCCCTCTTTCTCTACCTTGTGGAATAGTGACAAAAGGATTGGTACCAATTCTTCTTTGAATGTCTGGTAGAATTCTGTTGTGAATCCATCCAGTTCTGGACTTTTTTTGTTGGTAATTTTTAAATTACCATTTCAATCTTGCTGCTTGTTATTGGTCTGTTCAGAGTATCTAATTCTTCCTGATTTAAGCTAGGAGGATTGTATTTTTCCAGGAATTTATCCTTCTCTTTTAGGTTTTCCAGTTTATTTGTGTAAAGGTGTTCATAGTAGCCTTCAATGATCTTTTGTATTTCAGTGGTGTCAGTTGTAATATCTCTCATTTCATTTCTTAATGAGGTTATTTGAATTTTCTTTCTTTTCTTGATTAATCTTGATAATGGTCTATTTTATTTATCTTTTCAAAGAACCAGCTTTATGTTTCATTTATTTTTTGTATTATGTTTTGTTTGTTTGTTTCAATTTCATTTAGTTCTTCTCAGGTTATTTTCTTTCTTCTGCTGGGTTTGGGTTTGGTTTATTCTTGTTTATCTAGTTCCTTGAGGTGTGACCTTGGATTGTCAAGTTTGTGCTCTTTCAGTCTTTTTGATGTAGGTATTTAGGGCTATGAACTTTCCTCTTAGCACTGCCTTTGCTGTATCCCAGAGCTTTTGATAGGTTGTTCTTGCATGGTTTTGAAGCTTCCCTTTGGAGCTGATTTCCAGTTTTATTCCACTGTGGTCTGAAAGAGTGCTCAATATAGTTTCAATTTTCTTAAATTTATTGAGGCTCATTTTATGGCTTATCATATGGTCTATCTATCATATTATGGCTTATCATATAGATATCATAAATATCATACGATTTATCTTGGAGAAAGTTCCATGCACTCTTGAATAGAATGTACATTCTGTGGTTGTTGGATGAAATGTTCTGTATATATCTGTTAAGTCCGTTTGTTCCAAGGTATAGCTTAAATCCATTGTTCCTTTGTTGACTTTCTCTCTTGATGACCTGTCTAGTGCTGTCAGTGGAGTACTGAAGTCCCCCACTATTATTGTGTTGCTGTCTATCTCAGTTTTTAGGTCTATTAGTAATTGTTTTATAAATTTGGGAGCTCCAGTGTTAGGTGCATTTATGTTTAGGATTGTGATATTTTCCTGTTGGACAAGGCCTTTTACCATTACATAATGTCCCTCTTTGTCTCTTTTAACTGCTGTTGCTTCCAAGTTTGTTTTGTCTGATGTAAGAATAACTGCCTCTGCTCGCTTTTGGTGTCCATTTGCATGAAGTGCCTTTTTCCACCCCTTTACTTTAAGTTTATGTGAATCCCTATATGTTAGGTTAGGCTCCTGAAGGCAGCAGATAGTTGGTTGGTGAGTTCTTATCCATTCTGCAGTTCTGTATGTTTTAAGTGGAGCATTTAGGCCATTTACACTCAATGTTAGCATTGAGATGTGAGATACCATTGTATTCATCATGCTATTTGTTGTCTGTGTACCTTGGTTTATTTTGTTTCTTGTTTTTGCTTTTTAAATTGTGCTTTTGTTTTATAGGTCCTGTATGATTTATGCTTTAAGAGGTTTTGTTTTGATGTGTTTCCAGGATTTGTTTCAAGAGTTAGAGCTCTTTTAGCAGTTCTTGTAGTGGTGGCTTGGTAGTGGCAAATTCTGTCAGCATCTGTTTGTCTGAAAAAGACTGTATCTTTCCTTCATATATGATGCTTAGTTTCGCTGGATACAAACTTCTTGGCTGATAATGGTTTTGTCTGAGGAGGCTGAAGATAGGGCGCCTATCCTTCCTAGCTTGTAGGGTTTCTGCTGAGAAATCTGCTGTTAATCTGATAGGTTTTCTTTATAGGTTATCTGGTGCTTTTGTCTCACAATTTTTAAGATTCTTTCCTTTGTCTTAACTTTAGATAACCTGATGACAATGTGCCTAGGCAATGATCTTTTGGGGATGAATTTCCCAGGTGTTCTTTGATCTTCTAGTATTTGGATGTCTAGGTCTCTAGCAAGGCTGGGGAAGTTTTCCTCGATTATTCCCCCAAATATGTTTTCCAAACTTTTAGATTTCTCTTCTTCCTCAGGATCACCAATTATTTTTAGGTTTAGTGGTTTAACATAATCCCAGACCTCTTGGAGGCTTTGTTCATATTTTCTTATTCTTTTTTCTTTGTCTTATTGGATTGGGTTAATTCCAAGACCTTGTCTTTGAGCTCTGAATTTCTTTCTTCTACTTGTTCGATTCTATTGCTGAGACTTTCCAAAACATTTTGCATTTCTATAAGTGTGTCCAATATTTCCTGAAGTTTTGATTTTTTTTCTTTATGCTATTTCCTGGAATATTTCTCCCTTCACTACTTATATTGTCTTTTTTTTATTTCCTTGCATTGGGCTTTACCTTTCTTTGGTGCCTCCCTGATTAGCTTAATAACTAACCTCCTGAATTCTTTTTCAGGTAAATCAGGGATTTCTTCTTGGTTTGGATCAATTGCTGATGAGCTGGTATGGTTTTTGAGGGGTGTTAAAGAGCCTTCTTTGGTCATATTACCAGAGTTGGTTTTCTGTTTCCTTCTCATTTGGGTAGGATCTGTCAGAGGGAAAGTCTAGGGCTGAAGGCTATTGTTCAGATTCTTTTGTCCCATGGGGTGCTCCCTTGATGTAGTACTCTCCTTCTTTTCCTATAGATGTGGCTTCCTGTGAGCCGAGCTGCAGTGATTGTTATCTCTCTTCTGGGTCTAGCCACCCAGCAAGTCTACCTGGCTCCAGGCTGGTACTGGGGCTTGTCTGCACAGAGTCCTGTGATGTGAACTGTCTATGGGTCTCTCAGCCATGGATACCAGCACCTGTTCTGGTGCAGGTGGCAGGGGGATGAAATGGACTCTGTGAGGGTCCTTAGCTTTGGTGGTTTAATATTTTATTTTTATGCTGGTTGGCCTCCTGCCAGGAGGTGGTGCTTTCCAGAGAGCATTAGCTGTGGTATTATGGAGAGGAACTGGTGGTGGATGTGGCCCTAGAACTCCCAAGAGTATATGCCCTTTGTCTTCAGCTACCAGGGTGGACAGCGAAGGCTCATCAGGTGGGGGCAATGATAGGCATGTCTGAGCTGAGACTCTCCTTAGGCAGGTCTTTCTGTGGCTGCTGTGGGGGATTGAGGTGAGATTCCCAGATCACTGGAGTTGCGTACCTAGGAGGATTATGGCTGCCTCTGCTGAATCATGCAGGTTGTCAAGGAAGTGGAGGAAAGCCAGTAGTCACAGCCCTCTCCCAGCTCCCACACAATCTGAAGGGCTGGTCTCACTCCCACCATGCCCCCAGCAAACAGCACTGAGTCTGTTTCCAGGCAGTGGGCAAGCAGGGCTAAGAACTTGCCCCAGGCTACCCGCCTCCCAGCTTCGAAAGAACAGGACTTTGGCTCTTCCCCAGCCTGTGGAGTCTGCACACTGGATTTGCACCCTCCCTGGAGTTCTGGCCAGGAGGCTTCTTGCCCGGTTCAAATTGTTACAAATTCAGCTGGAGACTTTCTTCTCCCTGTGGCATTTCCCCCCATGCCTCTGGCCACCCTCCCAAAGGATCTCTGTGGTGCCAGGCAGGAATGGCCTGTTTGGGGATGCAGCAAGCTCCCAGGACCTTTCCCACTGCTTCCTCTACCTCTGCATTTCACTCAGCTCTCTAAATTGACTCAGCTCCAGCTAAGGTAGGAAACTTCTCCTGCAAACTAGACTTTCATTTTCCCCAGTGGAGGTGTATGTTCAGGGATGGAGGTTCTCCCTTTCCCACTTTTGCAGTTGAGGCATTCACAGTATTTGGGATGTCTCCCAGGTCCTGCACAAGCAGTCGGCTTCCTTCAGAGGGTCTGTGGGTCCTCTCAGGATTCCTGGTTTGTTCTTGCAGTCATTCTGGAGCTAAAATTCATGATATGAGCCTTCACACCCTGCTCTGTCCATTTGAGTCAAAGCTGCAATCTAGTTCTGCCTCCCATCTGTCATGATGATCGCTCAGAACCCCTTCTCTATGCTTCTTAATTAGAATAATAATATGGCTGGTGCTCCTGCAGGCATCCTGAGACCATCGTAGGTCACATAAACACAAAGGACGGCTGAGCTGCATAGGAGTTCCTAGGATCACCATCGACATGTATGGGTGATGTGCCAGCAATAGATTGTCCACCTCTGAGTCTTTCATTGCTTGATAGAAAAACAGATTTCTATATGTTATCTATGCCATTTTTTAAATCTTACTTGCCACTGAAGTTATTCCCTAAATGAAATACATAAAGCTAGTCTGTTGTAAAGTATTCCTTGAAGACATCTTTCTGTCTCCAATCTGGGATTGAGAGGAGGGAAGGACAATGGTACATTCATAGTGCAGAATTAAACAGAGAGTAAACTGGAAATAGGTAGGAGAAGTGTCAGGCATGAGCCTGGAGAAAATGAGCTGTGCTGTAAGACCCCCCAGCCCAGATTCTACCCGAGTTTGGCTGCTAAATGTTGGTGATTTTGAGCGAGTTACATCCTGTCTTTTGACCTTAGTTTCTTCATTTTTGCAGTGAATTTGGGCCAGGTATCTCCATGGTCCCAACACAGGGAAGCAACCAGTCTGTAAACCCCATGAAGCAAGGAGCTTCACATTTCCAATGATAAGAAATAAGGTTCCTAGAAAGCTCCTCCCTGAATTCCTTCATTTTCAATCGGAGACTCTCTGAGACTTCTAACTCTCTTGCCCCTCCTTACACTCCCCTTGTACCCAGGAGATACACATGAAGTTTGCCCCCATCAATAAAGTCCTCCCAATGTGCACAAAGTCCTTCTTGTGCATAAAGTCCTCCCCACTCCCATTCCATCTTCACCATTTTTCTCCCTCATATGCAAGAAGTTCAGCCAAATCTCATAGATAAGGCAATTGCACTCACATAGGACTATAAAATAGCATTTTCTATCTGAGGAGTTCAAATAGCTTCACAAAATTACATTTTCTTTCTCAAGTGTCCCAAGAAATTTGCAGCTATTTCTCTTTTATATATAGAAATTCATTGCCAGCATGCACATTGAGATTTTTGAGCTCTCAATTCTGTTTAGGGAATGAGGCTTGTATGAGACAGCTTACAAAAATATAAAAGTATAAAACAATTGTTGAGCAGATTGTAGGAAAAAAAAACAAAAACAAAAAGCCAGAGATCCTCAGATCAGCACAGTTAATGTGTGCCACATGATCTTACACTGTTGCCAGAAAAAGCCACAGATTTTGTTCTCCACTTCCTAGCTGCTAACACAAAAATACAGTCACAGTTTCAGAGACATTAACTTACTAAAGGTCATACAGTCACCCAGAAAATCTGCAGCCAAATCAACCAGAAAATTTAGGGTCAAAGTATTGACCATTAGACCCCTTCCCTGGACTAAATTCTATCCCACAATGAGTCCACCAACAACCCCTCCCTTCACAGGCAAGGCAGCCAAAAAGCTGAGAGACATGACTCTTCTAAAGTCTGGGAAGCAGAGTTGTTCACTCTGCTTGATGTAAACATCAAGCAGTTCAAACCACAGAGACAGGATTTTCCAGAACTTGGTGCCTCAGCCAACGTGGACAATGGGATGGCTAGTCAGAAATGCATCACTAAAGAATGTCACAGAGAGGAGAACTATTAGTGTCCATGCAAGCATTGTCTTGGGGAGGGAAAATCATTAGAGTCCAGACCTAGGCCTTTGCTGGATGGACAGCCTGATGCCACTATTTTCCTTGTGAGATTCCTCTTGATATGAATTCATTCTCAGCGAGCAGCCTCCTGATTAAGGTTTAGCTTCCCAGGGAGGCTTTCTTCTGTGAAGAGACAGCTCTGGCATACTGATGTATGTGGTCTGGGCCTTGTGGCCATGGTCCTTCCTTGAGAAGCTGTAGTTTTGTGCATCAGCATTGTGAGTTTGGCTAGTATGAGTCTGCCCTGGAAGAGCACACACTCCTGGCGGTAATAAAATCAATCCTGAGCCTACATGATTGGGGGTCAGATACCAGGCCATGGTCAATCCTCTGAGGGAAGGAAGGCATCCTTTAGGACCCCTCAAGGTAACCAGCCAGTAGTTCCCCTGTAGGCACCCCCTCGTGCTGTCTTGTGTTAAAACTTCCACAGGGATCAGCATTGAGGGGGCCCTTGGTTTCCTCACTTTGCCTCCTCCCTTTCTTGTTTGGGTGACCCTCATGGACTCCCAGGGGTCTGGCCAGCAGTGATATATATTGCCTCTGGAAACTTGTGCCTGCCTCAGACCCTGCACATTGATGTAAAAAAAAAAAATCATTGCATCTCAAACAACCAAATTGCTAGTACTTTACATTTACTACACACATTACCCATGGGCAAATTTGAAAATTATAGCTCTTCTCGGGTGTTTTATACTAGATTTCAAACAGCCCAGCCCAGCGTGAAACTGCAGGGAACTGAAATGAGTATGGAGGTGGAAAGTGGAGAAGGATCAACTTTATCTCCTGATTAGTCAAGATGAAAAATGATTTGAGAGACATGAGAGGAATGACAATAACATGGTTCATTGGCCTGATTGCCTGTTGTTCATAAACAGATAATGGTGCCCCTGGAAGTTTGTGCAGCTTAAGTCTGCTTGTGATGACCAAATAGGACTGATAGAGTTGTTTTCATTTGGGGCTTCAAACACATTCTTAAAATGCTGTAAAATACCAAAAACACAAAATAAAAAAGAAAGAATTCACAGGATATTCAGTGGTAGGTCATTATTGGGAAGAAGGCAGAACAGCACAGAGTTATTGACCCTTTGAAGTTTAATTTTGAAGCAATCTCCCCTAGAGGCTTTTTCCTGACCTCCACCCTACTCTCAATCAGAAAAGAAGGTTATGGGTTTTTTGCTTTTGTGTTTTTTAAAGCTTCTTTGGGCTGTCCTCCTGGCACTTACTCCATCTTCCTTCCTTTGCAATCACTCACGGGGTGCTGGGTCTCTTCCATTGATTTCTCTTGCAGTATTGGCTTTATGCCATTTACCATTTGCTCACAACAAATGGACAAGGAAAATGCAGGAGAAACCATGATGCAATGGGACTCTCTCATGTATGGACAGCACTTTAAAGTGCTTCACAGATGTGATCCCATCTGAACCCCACAAAAGCCCTGGGAGGTTTACTAGAACTAACACTCTGTGCTTCATATAAAGAAGCTTTTATTCTTCTACAGGCATTATTTTCATAGATCTTCTCTAAAATGGGGATTGCAATTGTTTCTACCTCATAAAGTTGCTACAAAGACTAAACAGAATAAAGAATTTATGTATGTAAAAGCACTCACAACAGGGCCTAGTGCATAAAAAAGGCTCTATATGTTTGCTGTTATTACTTTTTATTATCACTATCTTATTTAATCTGGAATCAGAAGGCTAGGACTGAGGTTTTCTACCTCTAAGCTCAGGGTCCCTGTTAGCACCCTCAGGGCTCTGGCCTGGCATGAACCAGGGTATGTATGGGCCACTTTCTGCTGTGGCCTCCCTTGTCCACTTCTATATCACAGGCAGTTACCATGGACCTTCTCCAAGAGCACTGCCTGCCATGGTCATCTATGGCTGCTTCTATGAAGATACATTTTTCTGCCATTCTGAAAGAGAAAACTTCTCTTTCTCCTCTGGGGTTCGTCTCTTCCCTCCCAGTGGAGAGAGAAGGCCATCTGCTCCTGAGTTCTGCAACCATTTCAAATTTTCTAACAGTGATTTGCTCTTTACCGGAGGCCCAGGCAGGTAATGTCCCATTGGGCAGAAATGCCAGTGCACACTGTCTCCCAGAGAGGTACATTAGGCCAGGCAAGACAGGGGCTGCCTGGCATGCAGCAGCAGGGAGGAGGCTCTGGGCATAATTTCAGTGCTGATTCCAGGTTGGCTGGTCTGGCTCCAAAGGAAGGAGAGCATAGCTGAAGGTGGACCAGTTTCACTTATGCATTCCCAAGCCAACACCAGAGCCGCTGGTGTGCTGGCTGCTGCAAATTCTTCCTCTGGCTACGAAAAGGCAAAAAAAAAAAAAAAAAAAAAAAGAAAGGGAAAACAAGTAAAAAGTTAAACCATTAAACAAAGGCAAACACTGTGTCCTGGGGATCTAAACACAGACACTATTTACTGGATTTATTCTATCATAATGGAACCCTTTTACCATCCTCACATCCAGTCATAAACCTTGTCGAAGTGTAATTGGATATCCCGTGGCATTGGATCCCTCTTGGACACCTCTCGGAAAAACAAACAAACAAACAGACAAAAAACAAAAACCTCCCACTTTCCTCCATCCTCTCTTGAGACATTTAGCTCTTTCTTCCTTGTTAAATGTTGTTAGTCTACATGTCTTGGCTTTCTGACCTCAGATATTACTCCATTATGCAGAATTAACTTAGCTCTCTTGGGAGTCAAGGCAGCCCCTTCCACATGACTCTTCTGTAGCATTTACCTTATTTTCTCTTGGTTATTTTCTTATTCTCAGTCCTCAACTCCTTCCTCTCATTGTCAATTCTGAGTTCCACAGGACAGAGGTATTTTCTCATCCTTGTATGCTCAATGTCTAATACAGCGTTAATAACTGCTAACTGAATACTCTGAGATCAGAGATTGAGGTTTAGTCATCTCAAAATGTACTTGACACATAGGAATTTCCTTATTACTTGTTAATCCAAAAGAAATTCTGAACTAGTGGCTATTTCTAAGGAAGTAACGCTCCATAGTTTTTCAAATTTACATTACAAACTTAGTAGTGGGTATCAAGGAATATGATGTGTGAGTGGGAAGGGGTGGTTCTTGGAAATGCTTGTATTCCTGATAGTGATGTTTTGTGAAAGCCTGTTAGTTTTTGCAAAATGACTGGTCCTCAAAGTTTGTAAGTCTTAGACTGGAAAGTGGTCTTAAAGCCATGCATCTAGTTCAACTCATACTTGATACATGAGTATCCAGCCTATGCGTGAACACTGCTAGGGTTAAGGAAAACACTAGTTCTGTAAGCAACACACTGAATCTTTAGGCAGCTACGTTAGAAAGTGCTCGCTATATTACTTAGCCATTAGAGACGATGATTAAGAGGACTATATGGCCCCAGTGAGCATGTTTTCTATAATGGCACATAAAACAAAGAAAAAGCAAGGTACAAAAGCCATCATAAATGTTATGAATATAGCTATGAAAAATATGCATGAGGGAAAGGGTTAAAAGAAAATATATCAAAATTATAATTCATTCACTAATTCCTTTACCAAATAGCACTAAGGCCCTATTATGGGCAAGGCACTGTTCAAGACACTATGGATATGTCATGGACAAGGTGGACAAGCCTTAATAGCTGGGTTATGATGATGGAATTGGGGTGAATTTTGTTTATTATCTCCATATTCCCCATTTTCTGGCCTGGGTTTATATTGATAATTAAGAAATCCTTCCTTATACTGAAAGGATATGAAAAAGAATCTTTTATTTCTTGAGTCCTGGAGATTTCAGAAAATATATTATACCAATAACTCTTCTCATGAAGAAAATGTTGACTTTCTATTAAGAAAGAAATGATCAATTGTGCCAAGGTGAGTGTGACATGTCTCCAAGGAATTTATCGGCAAGATAATGCTTTCCACTGATCTCAAAGAACAGAAGAGCTGTAAAATTCTCAAGTCAGAAAGGACTTTCCAATTTATTTACTCAGATTACCAAAATCAAGAGCAGAGCTAGAGCTAGAAAGCATAGGATAATGTTATAATAAAACCTCAGGGTTGGAGGAAACCTTAGAGTTGAACCCTCTAGCCAGCATCCCTAAGTGTTCATCTGACATCATTTTGAAGTCCTCTAAAGACAAACCATTGCATGCATTTGATTAAATTATTGCAAAAGAGAAGTTTGGCTCACTGCAAGTTTCGTGAATAGCCCATAGTGGGCAGTTCTACACTTCAAATAGCTCTTTCTTCAGTGTGTGGTTGCGTTCTAAAGGAAGTGGGCTGGGATGTGTGTGAGCATCTACCCCCTTCAAGTATGTGAAAAGGTCCACATGCATTACTAGAGATTTATGTCCTCCTTGCAGTGTGGCTGTGAGTGATAAGCAGCATCTCCTACATAAAATGTCTATAAGAAGACAATTGTCGATTAAGCTGGGATCACTTTACCTGGGATGACAGCACAGAGTTTGTGAAGAAATCCAATGATAAAAATTGAAGCTGCCTCAGTTGAAACTCTCTGGAAATCAATAAATCTATTACACCAATTTTTAATTCACCAGTAGTAGAGTTTATCTAAATATCATTATTGGCCCATGCTGACAACTTCAAAATGGAGTTTGCCTTTTGCTTAGTGAATAAAACCTTCCAAGGTAGCTAGCTGCTTTCAAAAGCTTTACAACCTTTTTTCTCACAGCAACTACTCTGATGGAGAGAAAATGGATTGTCTAGAAAGAGGCATCTTTTTCTCTGGTCCAATGATGTTAGTAACATTATCTTCACAAAGGATTACTCTCTGATAATCAGAGTCTGTCTCAGAGTCTGGCTCCAAACTTCACAAAATTTCTGCCATACCAGGCTCATGGTTCTTCTCTCTACTGCACTACAAGACATGGGGGTGGCCAAATAAGGGCACAGGGCTTCCTAGCAAATACATCTGCCACAGGCAGGGGGCAGCAAAACTCAAGGTCTCATTTGTTAAGATTTGCCTAAAACGTGCTTTTCTTGATGTGGGGTGGGTTTTCTGGTTTGTTTTTATTCTGTGGCAGTTTCTTGCCTCAACTGCCTTATTAAAAATGATTAATATAATAATCCACTTATATTTGTGTAGAAGCTTTTAAATAGAAAAGCTCTCAGCCTGCTTGGAAATTAAATAACTATTTCCTATTGACGGCATTTCCTTTGAAATGAAAGTTCCTGAAATGGATGTTCCTGGGAGGCTTCTAACTCGTAAGAGTTGAGGAGAGTATTAATTGCCATTTTGCTATTTATAATAACAGTGTCCTTACAGCTGAACACATCATCCATCCGAGTAATGAGGAACCACCATAAATGGGGCCTACTCTTTGTGAGAAAGGTCTAGAAAGAATCAAGATGCAAATCTATTTCACAGAAGCCAGAATGGATGATCTTTCTGCTCAGATGCTCTGGGAAATTGATGAGTATTGTGAAAATGGCAGAACACTTGACACGGGAAATAAATCTGTTATTAAACCAACTTGTTCTGTTGTTTGTTCTTTTATCAAGTTTTTAGTGTCTTGCTTGCTTTCCTAGAGTCAAGCATAAAAGAATCTCTTTCTGACTCGGCAAGCAATGAGCACTATGTAAGAGAGAAAGTGCACTGGTTTAATTCTCAACTATGACTCAGGCCAAACAGGACATGTAATTCTCTGTTCCTCCATTTCCCCATCTGTGAAACAGGATTTTCATTCTTGGCATGGCCACCACATTGTGAGGATCAAATAAACTAATAGATACGAGAAAGTGATGTAAACTATAAGGTAGTCCTCTATAACTAGAATCGTATCCTTATTGCATCACGTTGATCATAATTTATCTGCATACATGTCTGTCTCCCTAATGGACTGTGAGGTCCAGATTCATCCGTTTCCATGACAAATTAACAGGGTGTTTCTGTTATTCTCTTTAAAAGGCTTGAGTCTACATGACAACCAAATGGTTTACAAAGGAGAAAAAAATCAGTACTCGCTTTCACGTCACCGAGAACAAACATCTAAAGATTGTGTTGCATGATATCACATTTTTAACAGCAGGCGGATATTTGTCATAAAGTCACTAACTAACTTCAACAGGATGTGTTAGCCTTCACCATGGATCTACCTGGAATTAATAAGGACACTTGTACCACAAATGCACATACACACAATCTGTCCCAGGGCATAGTGTAAAAAAAGCAGCACAGAAAGAGGCATGTGTGTGTGTGTGTGCATGTGTGAGTTGAAGATTAAACACACCAAGAGAAAAATGAGGCAGCCTGTTCAACACCGTAAGAATAAGGAGAAGGTTTTTGTTGTTGTGTATGTCATCATTGTTGTTGTTACAGTAAATAGATTAGAAAAACATTCAATAACAAAATAAGGGGAAACCCAGGGTAGGGTTAGCATCCGCAAAGAATTTCCTAATGTCCTATTTAATCTAACAGGGTGCCAAGGCCTTGCGCATTAGTTCCACAACTTTCTGATATATCAAGTTTTCTCTAGGAGACAAACACAAACTGGCTTCCAGAAACAGCAAGTATATCCCAGTATTGAGACCTGAAAGTCGTCATAAAGAGCATACTGTTGTGATCGATATCTACACACTTCCAATAAATAAAATGCTTTGTCTGTACTATGCCAATGTCAGTAAAAGTAATTCAATGAGCAGCCAAAACCATGCCTTAACTCAAAAGCTCTGTAGTCTTGGTGCCCAGATAACTCTCCAAAGCATTTACTAGTGGGACCTCGGACAGATGATGTAGTCTTTTTTGGTTCGTTTTCAAATCTGAGAAAGAGAAGTATTTATCCTGATAGGGCTTCTAAGGGAAAATAATCAAAGACAAACTACCTGGCACATAGTTAGGTTCTCAATAAGTGTAGTCTGCCTTCCCACTGTGCAAATAAATGCCCAAGAAATCTGAAGAGAACCCATGTTCTAGTTGTAAATGACAGGCAACATTAGAGGGTAACTTCCTTTGACCCAAACCCTGAGTGTGTGGTAAGCAAGTCTTTTATATATCAAGGCCTTAATGCAAAATTAGATTTACGGCACACATCCTTCTAGCCATAACAGCTCTTTAATGAGTCCATTACGTTAATAAGTAGCTTGGTAGCCCAGCTCTTTGCTGTATTGTCTTTTCATCTGCTCAGCAAGACCACAGGCATTAACTACATAAACATATTCTGCATTTTGAAAAGAAAAAATAAAAAACCCTGCCACCCCTGGATACTTATCCCTTCAAGGAAGTCTCAGACTTTAGCAACAACAAAGCGTTGGTGTGTGGGACCCCACAGAGTTCATGAATTTCAGATGCTTGTAAGAAATTATCTGTTTTGCTGGACTCTTGCTGGGATCAATCAGCCCCTCAGTGGTTGGTACCAATTAAGAGCTAGTGTGATGCAAGAAGAATATTTTAAACACCATTTGACACCAAGTACTCCTCTGTCCTCTTCCTGCCTCCCTCCCTTCCTCCCCTCTAACTCTTCCACCAACCACCTTTTCAGTCCCTTTCCTTTTTAACTGTGACTCCCTGACTCCGCTCAAAGTCGTGAAGTGTAATGAAAGTAATGGCACATGTGTCTTTTCTGCAGAGGGATACTATTTATCGAGTGATTTCCCATCATCTCACAGCATCTCCCAACAGTCTGGTGTAGACAACAAGCAGAACTATCACTACCTCAACCTACTCTCTCCCTCTGTCTTTCCCAATGTATTCCCCATTTGTTCCCCACACAGCTGCCAAAGTAATCTGCTGAAGTTCAAACTGAATCATGTCATTCCTCTGCTTAAAGTAAATCCTTGGCTTCTCCTCATTGCCCAGAGGATAAAGGCCTGCTAGGGTTCACCCCTACCCTCCTCCTCAGCCTTGTCTCTCGCCACTCCTTTCCCATTCATTCTTGCAATTCTCTGAACACATTAAATGACATTTTGTCTTCCTATTTTTCTCTGTCCCTGAACTACCCACATCACCCAGGTCATCCAAGTATTAATAGCTAACTCATATATATCCTTAAAGATTCAGCTCAACCAACTCCAGAAAGCCTTACCCAATTCTCTAAGATGACTTAGGTGCCCTAGGGCTATATTCTGCAGCACTAGTGTTTGCTTCTGGCATAACACTTATCAGACTGCAATATCATAGCCAGTTAACCCATCTTTCCAGACTCCCCACCTCCAACTAGACTGTGAGTTCTTCGAGAGCAAGTGTAGGCTTTGTATACCTCCACAATCCTAGTGTCTGGTACGGTATCTCATATATGGTAAACCATGAATTCTCAACTTGGCTGCTTGTCATGGTTACCTGAGTTAGTTTGTTCATGATGCAAATCCTCTAGATCTAACTCTGGAGTTATTAAATCAGTATGTCTGTTGGAGGTGGAACCTGAGTTTGCGTGTTTTGTTGAAGTTCTAATGATGATGTACAGCCCTAGTTATGAATAATGTGGTATGTAGGTATTAATAAATATTTGACAGTCAATGAATGAATGAATACATAATGTCCCCATTTTAGAGATATTGAAACAAGCTTTAAGAGTTAGAAATTTGGCCCGTTTTGCTCAACACTAACTTTTGGAAAGATAGTGATATAAAGAGGTATAGGATAAAGCCTTTCTAGACTAGAGTTGGACTCGAGTTGTTTATTTGCATGCAAATCACCTGAATTACTCTCTAGCTTTTTCAAGCAGGAATAGGCCTTTTCATTTTGGGAACTTAATAGAGTCTGACCCAGTGTCTAAAACACAGTAGGCCCTCACTATTTGTTGAATTGCAACTGCATGGTGTGAATCAAAGAGCCCTGCACCTGGAGTGAGGAGCCTTGAGTCCTAGGCCTCTTTGTGATATTAACTGTGACTTATTCTGGGGTAAGAATTTCCTTGGGCTTTAGATTCCCTATCTACACAATCAGAGGTAGACTAGATGATCAAAGGTTGCTTTCAGCTCTGACATTTTTTAATCCATTGAGTGTTGGAGAGCTTGAGTCTGAATTTTGGCCGAGTGCTAGATGAAACACCTTCACTATGACTAAGTTAGATGGCATCTGAGGCCCACAGGAGAAGTGACATGAGTACACTTTTTAATCCATCATGAATGTGGCCAGGATGGAGGGCTGCCTTTTGTTCTGCTGAAGACAAGTGAATATTCAGCCCTAAGCACCCCCAAGGCTTGCCTGAGATGCTTACCTTGGCTTTCAGACACCAGCAAAGATCGCCCACTCTTGATAACATGAAGCCACTGTCACAGTGGCCTCTGATATAAGGGCTGACTCCCTGGAGGAGCATGGCATAGTAAGGAATGTGGAGGGAAGGCATGGGCTCTCTGACACTCACAGAGGAATAACCATAACCTAACACACGCACCCAGAGTGGCGGTGTGCAAATCATAGATAATTTGATTTTAACAACCTTGCAAAAGGAAGAAGAAGTAAGTACTATGCCTCTACCTTGCATGTTGGGAAATTAATGCTCAGAAATGTTGAAGGATTTCTGCATAAATGTAAAGTGATTAAATGTAGGAAGCTGATGGCAGATTTTTCTTTCTCCAGTGTAATATTCCTTTGGCTACATTGTATTGCCTCTTTTTCTTATCTTCTCTATTGGATCCTTACAAAAATCCTGCCAGCGAAAAAGGGCAAGTATTCCCATTTCCATTTTATGGAGCATAAAGTTGAAGCTCAAAGAGACTTTTCAGTCTCACAGTAGGTAGCGGGGACTTCCAGTGCACTTTTTGCTATATCACTACTGCTTCTTTTTTATTGTATTTTATTGTATAATCTTACTTGTACCCCATCAGAGAGGTAGAACATACTGGTAATATAATTTGCAATTTTCTAACAAGAAAACTGAGGTCCAGAGAAGTAATATTGGAGAAATTTATTAAAGATGAATTTATGAGTTTAGGTTGGCAAGAAAATGACCTTTCCAACAATTGGAGTTGCCGTCATTGGAAATGAGCCCCTGTACCATCACAGGACCAGAGGACCGCTCAGAGATATGGCACAGGCGACTGTGAAATGATGAAGAGTTGACTTAGATATTCATTAAGCTCCTTCCTGACCATATGCATCCATGGTTCTATGCCTGACCCAAAGCCCCCAGCCAGTATCTCATCAGTCAGGATGTGAACCCAAGTCCTCCAAGTCATACTTTATCCTATGCATTTTTTGCCCTATCCATTCAACTTTCCTTGGCTCATATTTCCAAATATTTCAGAATCCAACTGTCTAGGTGTAGGTGTAGTTATCATTTGAACACTGGCCAGAACAGGATCTCTCTGTAGGTTTACTGAGTAAACACTGACAAATTGGCCACTCAACAAATCACACATATTAACATGGAGTATTCTTCTCAAACAACATGAAATGATTTTTAAAAGTTCCTAACTTGGAGACTGGACCTTGGCTCCAGTCCTGAATTTTCCATCAAATGCCTATAGGAACCTGATCAAAGTCACTTTCTGTTTCAAGGCATTGGGCATCCTCCATTGCAACGTGACTGTTGGACAAGAGGTTCTTTTAAGCTCAGCAACGCAAGATCACAAGACTAATTGTCTTTGCTGCTAGCCATGGGAAGGCTGGAAGACAAGGAGCTTGGAATAACAAGCTTATCCAGGGGCTAAACAGAGAAAGCCAGGCTTAGCAATATCATATTGACATTCTTTACCAGCCTTGAATCCATTTGAGTTTGGGAGGTAAGAAGTAGCCCAGAAACAATGCAATGAGAAATTAGCCTCTCTTCTTAAGTCCTAAATGGTCATATGCCTTTGAGCTCCATTGCCCAGTCTCAGGTTGGCACTGTCTTCTGTCAGTAGCTATAGTATTTCCCCTACCACAACCCATCTCTATTTCCCATCACTGACAGCCCCATCCTCCATCTCCCTAGACAGATCTCCCTGCTTATGTTCCTACCATTTCTTGTCTGACAATCAATTTTCCTATCTGTCATTATCAATTCTGTTCATTAACTCTCCCACGTGTCTTAGCTGAGGCCTCCCGACACCAAAAAGCATCTCAAAAAAAAAAAAAAAATGACAATGTTCCCAAACAGAATAATTGAAACTTCTTGCACATCTAGAGAGACTTCTGTCTGAAACCCTCAGAGCCATTTTTTAAATGTCAGTAGAAATGTACATTTTATACTAGGGAGGCAGACTTCACCATTCTAGCACAACCAAATGAAAAGTAAAGCAGAAACCAAAAAACATTCAGCAACTACTTTTTTCTTTGTGGTTCACAGAATGCAAAACTGGTCTGACCATTTTTTTTTAAGTTTAGTTGACTTGTTAATTGCCTGTAGTTCTTTTAAACATGGCCTAAGAAACGGTTACTACAGGAATAATACTGTGAAGAAGGTGAAAATGCTAGAGAGACCGTCTTGTGCCTTTCTCCGAGGAGTTCCGTGAACTGCTCAGTTGCTAAGACTTGATAGGAACTTGTAGAAAGACTTCTGTAGCACTACAAGGCAGTAATACATATTGATGAAAAATCTCTGTTATCAGGCTATCTGTATTTAAGAGTTATAATAACAACAGCTATTCTTAGACAATTCTTTACCATTTATAAGGTATTTTCACACATATCACATCACTTTGCATTTACTGTTTCCCCTATCCTGAACATTCCTCCCTCAGATATCTACCTGGCTTGCTCCCTCACCTACTTCAGAACTGTGTTCAAATGTTATCTTTCCTATTGGCCTAAAGGAAAATTGCAACTGTGCCCACCTCCCCTGAAACTCCCTGTCCGCTTCCCATGATATGCTTCTCCACAGCACTCCTCACTGTCTGACTTGCTATACATTTTACTTGTAGAATGTGAGCTCCCTAGGGAATGAGATCTTTGTATTTTCATGGCTATATTCCCAGTGCCTGGAACACAGTAGTTGCTCAGTTAAGACCTTTTGAGGGAATAAAAGAATACATTGTGAATGCGATTCTCCCCACAGCCTTGAGGAGCAGGAGGCATCATTATTACTATTTTGCAGATGAAGCAACTGAAACTCAGAAGGCTAAGTGGTCAGACCACATGGATGAGAGGGGCAGACCCAGATGACCTCACACTGGCTCACTCTGTGCTCTCCAGAGACACATCTCGGAAACAGACACTTTAACAAGTGCACCCTCCCACTCAGGAAGGAGTGTCCAAGTCAGACGAGTGCTGAGAGCTATAATGCTCAGCCCTGTGCCTGCACCCCTGCATTGGCCCTCTCTTGGCACCTGCCTTACCCACCCTCCAGGGAGTGCGTTCCCAGGCACCCACTGTATTTGATGAGCACCTGCAGGTCTAATTATCCCATTAAGGTAGGATAAACAAAGAAAAAGGAAGGAAGAAATAATTACAAAACAAGCAAACCTGAATGGTCAACACATCAACACAGTAATTACATTTCTCCAAAAAGAAAAAGACAGGAACTAAGCTTTTCCACCTAACTCTTTTTGCTTTCGAATGGAAGCCTCCTCTCTCAGCTGCAGATTACACGGGCTGGCAGCTTTCCCACCCTCACCATGCTCCTTGTTGCCTCTATTGACAGAGGTGAGCCATTACTCTTCACTAAAATTCAGTGTCCACACATTCGCCCCTTGACAACACTCTGGAAATTGATCTCTTCAAATATCTTTGGAACTAAATTAAGGCAATTTGTTCTTTCCCTGATCCACATGGTTGTCCTCTGGGACAGAATCATTGCTAAAAGGATGATCATGATTTTTTGAAAAGGGAGGGAAGTCTTCCGGGAAGGAGGCAATCCAAAATCTTGGTAATATTGAGTATAAGTGATTTTAAAAATCAAATACCATTAATACTGCTATACTGCTTACAAAGAACATTCACATCCATTATCTATAGGATTTAAGCTTTGTGCTACTCTATGAAGAAATTGAGAAATACCTGACTTTCCATTTTATAGGTGGCAAAACTAGGGAAATGACTTACCAAAGTTCACATCCCTGTAAGTGAAAGAGCAACAAATACTCGAATCCAAGTTTTCTGACTCTAAGTGGAAAGCTTTATGCCACAAATATGGTATGTGTGTGTATATGTGTGTAGAGAGAAAGAGAGACTGATTCTATTTTCACCCTGCACCTTCCAAATTGTCTTTTCTGGGCACCTCACTCGGCTTCCCTGTCCTCAGATGTATTTTCCTGCATCAGAGAGCACTCTGGCAGTCCCCAGACTGGCTGTGCTCAGAGGTTAGCATTTTACATTCCACAAGTATTTGGCTTGCTTTAAGAGCATGGACTTCTGAGTCAGACAGACCTGAGTTCCAGCAGGGATAGATTGCACCGATCCTCAACATCTCCACTCACCTCACAGCATTGTTGACAAAATTGTATGAAAAGACGCCATGTGGTATCCATCACAGCTCATGGCACACCGAAAATGCTCAGTAAATGAGAGCAATTCTTGTTGAGTACCCTGTTCACTTCTGTATCACATCTGAGAGGTGGGGGTCCAGGCTCTTATCTTATCTTACATTATTGCTCAAAGCCTTCGCCAGAGTCACTCTCTGGGCATGAGCGTGCATGGAAGCAGTGATATCCTCTAATTTGAAAAGTTCTGGGTGCTGAACAGTAGCAAAGACAGCAGCAGGAATTCCTATTTTCTGAACATTTAGTGTTCTCCATGAATAATTGTCATTAATGTCGTCAGCCGCCCTACCATTAATCCCATTTTAGAAGTATTAACACCATTCATTGTGTCCATAGACCTGCTAAACACTGAATATTTGTGTCACTGCAAAATTCATATGTTGAAACCCAACCCCCAAGGTGATGGCATTTGGAGGCAGGGCCTTGGAGAGGTGATTAGGTCAGGTTAGAGGCCCTCATAAATGAGATTAGTGCTCTTGTAAAAAGGACCCCAGAGAGCTCATTTGCCCCCTTCAGCCATGTGAGAACATAGTAAAAATATGGTGTGATATTATGAGATTGTATATGTGTGTGTGTGTGTGTGTGTGTGTGTGTGTGTGTTTTCATCCACAGTTCCCAGTTTATCACTCCCATAGCCCTTATTACAGTCTTTTGTTATAATGCTGGGGCACTTTAGGTGTCAGAAAGCAGAAGCTCTCTCTCACTGACCTTTCTCCTGCCGTTTTTTCACCTGCTTCTTTTTCTCCTCAAGGCAGGATTTAGAAACTAAAAATACACTCTAATCTTCCCCCACCTCTGGTCATAAAGAAATTTTCTGACCCACCTTGTCTGATTGTAGATCATAAGACCTCTGCTTCCAAAGAGGTTCAGCCTCGTACCCTGGGGAAGGAACACTGCACAGAGAGGCCAAAAAGAATTTGAACAGGCAGGACTTGCTGGGGATCCCTGCTCAGTTATTAGTATTAGATTATACTCTTCTTGTCCAATCACATTTCCACATGGCTGTCAATCAAGCCTATCCAATGAAGTCTCCATAAAAGGCCCAAAAGGACAGAATTCAGAGAGCCTCCAGATAGCTGAACACGTAGAGGTCCCTGGAGGGTGGTGCACCCAGGAATGTCATGGGAGCTCTATGCCCATTCCCATACCTCACCTTATGCATCTCTTTATTTGTATCCTTTGTAATATTCTTTATAATAAACCATTAAGCATAAGTAAGTGTTTCCCTGAGTTCTGTGAACTGCTCTAACAAATTTATAGAACCCAAGGAGGTGGGTAATGAGATCCCTGATTTATATCTGGTTGGTCAGAAGCACAGGTAAAGCAGCCTGAGGCGCAGTGGCTCTCACCTGTAATCCCAGCACTTTGAGAGGCCAAGGCAGGTGGATCACTCGCGATCAGGAGTCTGAAACCACCCTGGCCAACAGGGTGAAACCCCATCTCTACTAAAAATACAAAAATTAGCCAGGCATGGTGATGGCTGCCTGTAATCCCAGCTACTCAGGAGGCTGAGGCAGGAGAATTGCTTGAGCCCAGGAGGTGGAGGTTGCAGTGAGCAGAGATTGCACCATTGCACTCCAGCCTGGGTGACAGAGCGAGACTCCACCTCAAAAAAAAAAAAAAAAAAAAAAAAAAAAGTAGGGGACAGTCTTGGGGACTGAGCCTTCAACTTGAAAGGGCTCAGTAGATAGCCCTGCAGGTAGATAGTGTAAGAACTGAATTGAATTGAATTGAATAAGACACCCAGCTGGCATCCACTACAGAATTGAATGCTTGCTTGATGGTAGAGAGAAAATCCCTAAACATTTAGTCACATAAGTCTTCTGTGTTGATTGTTGTGGCGTAAGAGCAGAGAAGAAACATTTTGTGTTTACTCCAATCTCAGATGGCCATCTGTGAACCAGGAAGCAGGCCTTGCCAGACACCAAACCAGCCAGTGCCTTGTTCTTGAACTTTCCAGCCTCCAGAACTCGGAGAAATAAGTTTCTGTTGTATATAAGCCACTCAGTAGTGTGGTATTTTGCTATAGCAGCCTGAAAAGACTAAGACAAGCCCTATGACATAAAGATGCAAAGAAAAACTTGGTAACTGAACAAAGGATGCAAACTGAGGGAGTCCACCTGTCAGAATGTAGGCTTTTAACCACTACACTATGCCATTTAAAGAGTGAGCAGGCCTTTTTGGAACACCTTGTCTTCTCCTGCAGCAGGACTGACCCCTTCCAAGTACCCTTTCCTACCTGGCAATTCCACTCTGGCCAGTCTGTGGCTCAAGCCACAACTAGAGTGTTAAACACAAAATTTAACACAAAATGTTAAAGCTAGACAAGCCCACAGATTTAGTCTTCTTACCTAGTAACTCCCTCATTTCTCAGATGAAATTGAGGCCCAGAAGGGAGGTGAGCTGCCTGAGGCCTCACAGTCTCATTCCATAACTGGAATGAAACTCAAAACTGTGAGTACATTGTGGGCTGTGGGAAGTTGTTGTACCGGCTGCCTGGCAGCTTGGCTGTGCCCCTCCATTACCTTCTCTGGCACAGCGTGCAGCTCCTCACCATCCCATCAGCATAGGCTGTGGTATGACTTGGTTTGTCATAATATTTTGTTTAAATTGTTTGATTTAAATGTAGATATAGATATATTTATATATAGGTATCGATATAGATAATCTGTGCTTTTTAACATAGGCAGCCACAAATCTTTTGGGAAAGTAGATAAAGAACAAATGAATGTGTAAATAAGCCAGGCAAGGTGGCTCACACCTGTAATCCTAGGACTTTGGGAGGCCAAGGCAGGTGAATCACCTGAGGTCAGGAGTTCGAGACCTGGCCAAAGTGGTGAAACCCTGTCTCTACTAAAAATACAAAAATTAGCCAGGTGTGGTGGCAGGTGCCTATAATCCCAACTACTCGGGAGGCTGAGGCAGGAGAATCGCTTGAACCTGGGGGACAGAGGTTGCAGTGAGCCGAGATCATGCCACCTCACTCCAGCCTGGGTGAAAGAGCGAAACTCTGTCTCAAACAAACAAACAAACAACAACAACAACAAAAAACCCAAAAAAACTGTAAATAAGTAGATCAGTGACAACTTAGCATCCTTTTCATCATTCTTTCTGAAAATTTTGGAAATTCTGAAGTAGGTAAGTGCAGGGAAGAAAAGCAAATTTAGCAGTGAGTATGGCTCGTAAATTACTTTACTAAAGGGAAGAAATCATAAGAAATTTGGGGCTATTTCTTCTCAATGTAGAACAAGAGAATGTCAAAATAGTGCTGCCTGCTGAATGTTGAAAAGCAAAAGCACCGAGCCACTAAGTCAGAATGACAGTGCCGTGTGTTGAGAGTGGATCATTTCATGTGCTTAAGTACTTAGAAACCTGATCCTCAACCACAGTCCCCACTGTGCTTTCCCTCCCATCTGCATTCTTTCTGGTCCCCTAACTTGATGAACTAGGACATTTGCATGAGCATTTGTCTGAGGATTTTAGCCCGAGCTGTTCCATCATTCTGAAACATTCTTTCTGTGTATCTCTGCATGGCTGGTTCCCACTGGTCATCTGCAGCTCAGCTTATGTTTGACTTCCTCATAGAGGCTGTCTCTGGCCACCCTATTAACTTCTCTTACCACTGCTGCAAAGCACCTTGAGTTATTCCCATCATAACACTTATCGCTACCTGTTCTCTTCCACACTTGATAATTGTCTCTTCCTCACTAAAATGCTCATTGAGGACAGGGAACTTTTCTATCATATTCACCACTATTTTCCCAGTGCCTAAACCAGTACACAAGAAATAACTGTTAAATGAAGATAAATAATATCAACAAATACCTTATATTCTAAATCAAGGGCCTAATTCACAAACTGGCCAAAAACCATCTATCGATCAATATTTACTTAACAGTCAATGTGTGCTGGGTGCATTTTATGAACTGGATGGGGGTGGGGTAGATGGGGTAGATGCAGAGATGAATATGATTAGTCTCTAACCTCAAGCAGTTGATGTCCTGGTTGGAGAGTTAAGACATATACTTCTAAAATAAAACATATGCTTCTAAAAATAAAACTTCAGTAACATAGCCAGTACTCAAGGACAAGTAAATGGTTCAGAAGGCAAAGGTATTGAAGAATAAATACAAACGATTGAAGGCTAAATACAAAGGAAGACACATAGAAGGCACAATGTCTGTCAAATCCACAACACATAAATGGAAGTGAGAGAGACCAGAAGCAGCCTCCCAGTCTCCCTGGCCAGGGCCTTTCGATGACATTGCAGGCTTCCCTTGTGCCCCTGTGACTCGAAGTGATGTGGAGTTGGAGAGCTTGACTCTCAACCTGGCACCTAGAGAAGAGCCCACACTTGTCCAATGTTCTCTCTGTGAACCGTGTTATACTAGTTTACACATGTCATCTCAGTTACTCCTCACTACAACCCTGACTACAGCAAGGTGTTACAATTCTCATGTTAGATTAATACAAATGGAGGCCCTAAGGTGAAAACTATTTCACCCAAAGTGACACAGTCAATGGAGCCCTGTATACCTGCCTCTATAGGATCTTACCCTTTCCCAGTTCACAATTCTGCCCCCTTGCTCAAAACTGAAGACACCTCCAAGCTCACACAACAATTAGGGATTCATCCCTAGGTCTGTTCAACTGAAAAGTGGGTGCTTTTCTAAAACCTGGCAGATAGGAACAAGGACTGAGCCCATCATTGCTCCTTTTGCCCCATTGCAGAAACAGAGCCCTTCAGAAGAGTCATATGTCAAAAGGTGAAAAGAATGGTGGTTAAAATGTGAAAATGCACTGCCTTGAAATTCATTTGGTGTTCCCACCCTTATTCTTGATGAAAGTATTCCCTCGTGACAAGTTCTTTAAAGAATTTCTCTCAACTCCATTATGCAGTGTGGAGTAATTGTATGTCATCAAAAGCCTAGGAATAGTCAAGATTGCAAAATTCTTGCTGTGCTCTTGGCAAAATCATTACTCACCAGCCAATGTTTAGAAATCAAAATGCTCCCCTTAAGTGCCATTAAACACAAATATTTATCAACGCTGCACCAGAATGTTAGGCTGACGAAGGTTGGATGTTTGTGGGTGTGCTTGCGTGTGCATAATTAGATTCAGGTTGTCAACAAGAACAAGCTGGCTTACTGAAGTTTATGTCTTTCAGACACCCACCTACAGGCAAATGGGAGGTTTTTGCTTATTTATATCTTAGAGAAATGTTAAAATTCTCAGAAGTATGCCCAAAGAAAACCAGGGGAATTTCTGTTTCACTGCTTTTTACAGGCATCATGAAAGGTACTGCCTATGGTAAAACAAATACCAAGACTGTCAGGAGAGATGAAAATGGACATCAAAAGCTAAATAATGATTCAGCATAGGGAATATGGATGGATAAATCATCATTAAAAACTCCTACTATAGTTTGAAGAAAATGAGGCTTTCAATCTCTGTCTTCAATTTTCCCTGTAGGTGGCTTCTAGAGTTAGTATCTACTAAAACAGGTTAGCACATGGCTTACTTAGGTCAAGATCCCTAGAAGCCAAATCTCAGATGGGATTCTCATTCTGGGGATTTACTAGGGGGAGTGCACCTGGGAGAAGGAAAGTAAAAGAAGTAGAATAAGTCAGAGGGGAAAAGCTCAGTCAGAGCCAATCCCACAGGAGCACAAATCACCCATAGTCAGTCCCACCCTGAGGCAAGGGAAGTAGCCCTTTGCACAATGGTCGTTGGCTGAGGCCTGTCCTGGAAAGGCTCCCATTTTTCAGAGAAGTGATGCAGGCCTGACACATCAACACTCACAGCACCTGGGAATGGGTACACAAATACTAAAGGGGCCTGAGTGAGGCACCGGCAGCATCCACCATGGTACACGTGACTCTTCTTATGAAACTTTTATTTCATTCTGCAGAATAAAGTGCAAACTTTTCAGCATGGAATCTGAAACCTTCTGTGTTCTAGCCTTAACTTCATGGCTCTGAAATAGATTTTCTAAAAATCTAAGACTACTTAATGTATTTGTGCAAATGTCTAAGTGTATGTGGAGCATACCATCAGAGAGGAGTCAGGGGACATCCACCCCTCCTTCTACCAATAGCTTCTCTGCCCTCAGAAGAAAGTTGATTCCTGAGCCTGCTTTTCTATGGATCCCAGACTAGCCCTCCAGCCTTGTCTCCTACCCCCTTTTTCCACACAGCTCAACCTTTGATAGTGCAATAAACTGTTAGTTATTTCTCAAAGATGCTGTGTTCTTTCACCTCTCCCAGACTTTGTGACACTTAGGATCAATAAGAGATGGACTAGCACAGAAAACTAAAATCCATTCCAACCATTCCTTAATGTGACCAGCATTATTGTCTGAAAGTACACTTTTAATGTTCTGGGGCCATTTTTAAAAACCTCTCATTTTCTCTGTAAAGCAAGGCCTAAATCCCTGGCGTGGAATGTCCTTTGCCTGTTTTTCTTCCTTCGTTCTCCAGTTCAAGTGGCACCTCTACTATGGAGCCCTCTCTACCACCCCAGCCTTTCTATCCCTTCACAGCCCTGCATTACCTTTTCCTAGCACTGCCATTATTCTGCTGTATAGAATGGTCTGTTGTGTAGGCATCTACCTCTACCAGCAGATTGTGAGGTTCCTGACGGCAATACCTTTCACAGCACCTAGCACCTCACTGGGTGCGAAGCAGGTGCCAGTGCAGACATATTAAGTGGAAGAAAATAATGCATCTCTAAGGAATAGTCTCCAGGGAGAGTCCTCACAGACACTGCGGGACTTCCATAGGAAACTCATTTAAAGGACTTTTAGACTAACAATATAAACAATTACAACAGATGCTAAGACTTATGGGACACTTATTATACCAGAATCTGCGTTTAACATTTTACATGAATTAACTGATTTTAATCTTATTAGGCAGGTACTAATTTTATTACCATTTTACAGAAGAGAAGACCATATTGTGAAAGGGAAATAAATCTCAGGACCCCAAAATCATGAAGCCAAAAGGAAAAGTCAAGCTGGGAACTGCATCAGGCAAACCTGCCTCCTATTTTAGTTCCAAGATAAGATAGTTACAAAGATTGCTTTAAAAGCTACATATCTCCCTCACAATTTGCCAACAGGCGATTTCTTGTGGGCCTCAAGACCTTCACCTTAAACCAATTCTGTTGAATTTCACCTTGGCTATGTAAATTGATAGCTTATCTTCACAGATGGAGTACAAAGGACACACAGAATCAAGGTCATTCCTCTGCTCACCTGAGACAAATGCATATCCAATTGCTTCTTCTGCCCTACTGCTTATGTAAAAATGCAGATTCACTGAGTCAGACTAAGGCATAAGTTCCTCTACCCCCACTCACATGTGAGTTGTGTCTTCAATGAAAGGCTGTAAAAGACCCAAAAGAATGCAACTTTTTGTCTCTTATCTACCTACTAGAAGCCCCCACTTCAAGTTGTCTTGACTTTCTGGGCCAAACCAATGTATGTCTTACACGTATTGACTGATGCCTCATGTCTCCTAAACTGTATAAAACCAAGCTGTGACCAAACCACCTTGGACACAGGTCATCAGGACCTCCTGAGGCAGTGTCAAGGGCATGTCCTTAACCTTAGCAAAACAACTTTCTAAGTTAATTGAGACCGGCCTCGGATATTTTTGGGTTCATAATATCAGGGAGGTTATGTAACTTGTTCAAGATCACATAGCTAGCAAGTGGGAGACCAGGGCATCAGAGCCAGAATGCCTGTAATCACGAAGTAACCAAATGAAGGAAGATTACTCATGCTCCTGTATTTCTGAACCATCGACCTGAGGGGCAGCACCATGATGAAAATCACAGTCATGGCACTTTTTGTGAGCAACAATTAAAAGCCCTGTGCCCATTCATTCCCTTTCTTTCAAAGGAAAATGGTTGGAATGGGAACAAAGAAAGTAGGTTCTTAAAGTATATTTTATGCTTATATATTTGTAAGTTGTTTTGTTTGTTTATTCAGAAAGGCTTTGAATTGGAGCCAGAAGAGTCCCTCTTTGAATCACAGTTTCCTGATTAGTAAAATAGACTTTTGCCTGTTCTATTTATTTCAGAATGCCTTTGCATGGATTCCCCACTCAGGTACAAGCTTCACAGAAGTGGAGATTTTACCCAACCTATTCATCACTGTTTCTTCATATTCCAACACAGTGCCAGACACATAATAGGCCTTGATAAACACTCATTGGCTGAATGAATAAAAAATGAGACACTAAGGGAATACAGTGTTTCTTTCTCAAAGGGTGGTTCAAGGACCACTCGCTCCAGGGTTATCTGGAGAGTTTGTTTAAAGTACAGATTCCTGGGCTAAAAGGGACTTCTTCACTTATTAATGTTTGAGAACTACTGATATAAATGTTATGTGAGTGTCTGCAAACTGTTCAATTTCACAATTTAATGAAATTAACTTCAAGTGAAGCTGTAATTATCATCTGATTCTGATAAAGAATGGAGAGGGAATCCTACTGTTTCTCTCCACTTTTCCTTTATTTACTTCCTCATTCTTTTATACTTTCCTTCCCTATATTAGTCCATTCTCACATTGCTATAAAGAAATATCTGAGACTAGATAATTTATAAAGAAAGAAGTTTCATTACTTAAGAGTTCCAAAGGCTGTACAGGATGCGAATTAGCTTCTGTTTCTGGGGAGGCCTGAGGAAGCTTCCAATCATGGCAGAAGGCAAAGGGGGAGCCAACACTTCACATGGCCAGAGCAGGAGAAAGACAGAGAGAGGGTAGAGGCGCCACACACTTTTAGACAATCAGATCTCATGAAAACTCTATCATGAGAACAGCACCAAAGGGGGAAATTCACCCCCATGATCCAGTCACCTCCCACCAGACCCCACCTTCAGCATTGGGGGTTACAATTCGACATGAGATTTGGGTGGGAACACTGATCCAGACCATATTATTCTGCCCTTGGCCCCTCCTGAATCTCATGTCCTTCTCACATTTCAAAATATAATTATGCCTTCCCAACAGTCCCCAAAACCTTAATTCATTCCAGCATTAACTCAAAAGTCCAAAATCCAAAGTCTCATCTAAGGCAAGGCAAGTCCCTTCTGCCTATGAGCCCATAAAACAAGTTAGTTAATCACAAAATAAAAAGGGGATACAGGTATTGGGTAAATACTGCCATTCCAAAAGGGAGAAATTAGTCAAAAGAAAGGGGTTACAGGCCCCACACAAGTCCAAAACTCAGCAGAGAAGTTATTAAATCTTAAAGCTCCAAAGTAATCTCCTTTGACTCCATATCCCACATCTGGGGCACACTGATGCAAGGGATGGGCTCCCAAGGCCTTGGGCAGCTCCACCCGTGCAGCTTTTCAGGGTTCAGTACCTGCAGCTGCTCTCAAATAACAGGTTATTTGAAATAACCAAAGTGCAAGCAATAGTATTTGAGATCACTGAAGTCGCCATTTTAATTGGGGAATTGAGTGCCTGTGACTTTTCCAGGTACAGGATGCAAGCTACTGGTAGATCTCTCATTCCAGGGTCTACAGGATGGTGATCCCCTTCTCACCGCTCCACTAGGCAGTGCACCAGTGGGGACTCTGTGTGGGGGCTTCAACCTCACATTTCCCCTCTGCACTACCCTGGTAGAGGTCCTCCATAAAGGCTCCACCGCTGCAGCAGGCCTCCTCTTGGACATCCAGGCTATTCCGTATTCTCTGAAATCTAGGTAGAGGCTCCCAAGCCTCAACTCTTGCACTCAGAGCAAGCTTACTGCCACACAGAAGCTGCCAAGGCTTCCAGCCTGCACCCTCTGAAGAAGCAGCCCAAGCTGTACCTGGGCCCCTTTGAGCCACAGCTGGAGCTGGAGTGGCTGAGATGTAGGGAGCAGTGCACTGAGGCTGCACGGGGCAGTGGGGCCCTGGGTTTAGTCCATGAAACCCTTCTTCCCTCCCAGGCTTCTGAGCCTGTGATGGGAGGGGCTGCTGCAAAGGTCTTTGAAATGTCTTTGGGGCCTTTTCCCCATTGTATTGGATATTAGTACTTGGTTCCTTACTTATGTAAATTTCTGCAGCCTGCTTGAATTCCTCTCCTGAAAACGGGCTTTTCTTTCTACTACATGGCCAGGCTGCAAATTTTCCAAACTTTTATGCTCTACTTCCCTTTTAAATATAAGTTCAAGTTTTAGGTCATTTCTTTGCTCATATATATGAGCAATTGTTTGTTAGAAGCAGCCAGGTCACATCTTGAATGTTTTGCTGCTTAGAAATTTCTTCTGCCAGATATCCTAAATAATCACTCTCAAGTTCAAAGTTCCACAGATCCCTAGAGCACAGGCCCAATGCAGCCAGACTTTGTGCTAAAGCATAGCAAAAGTGACCTTTAATCTAATTCCCAATAAGTTCTTCTTCTCCATCTGAGACCTCCTCAGGCTGGACTTCATTGTCCATAACACTATCAGCATTTTTGTCATAACCATTCAACATGTCTCTAGGAAGGTCAAACTTTCCCACATCTTCCTGTCTTTGAGAGCCCTCAAAACTCTTCTAACCTCTGCACATTACCCAGTTCCAAAGTTGCTTCCATATTTTCAGTTTTTTTTTTTTTTTTTGAGACAAGGTCTCTCTCTGTCGTGCAGGCTGGAGTGCAGTGGCATGATCTCAGCTCACTGCAACCCCCACCTCCCAGGCTCAAGATTCTTCCACCTCAGCCTCTGGAGTAGCTGGGACTACAGGAACATGCCACCACACCTGGCTAATTTTTTTTTTGTTGTTGTTGTTGAGATGGGGTTTTGCCAAGTTGCCCAGGCTGGTCTGAAACTCTTGAGTTCAGGTGATCCGCCCACCTCAGCCTCCCAAAATGCTAGGATTATAGGCGTGAGCCACTGTGCCTGGCCTCAGGTATATTTATAAAAATGCCCCACTCCTTGGTATCAATTTTCTGTATTAATCCATCCTCACACTGTTATAAAGAAATACCTGAGACTGGGTAATTAATAAGGAAAGGAGGTTTCATTGCCTCTGTGTCCCAAAGGCTGTACAGAAAGCGTAGTGGCTTCTGCTTCTGGGGAGGCTTCAGGAAGCTTCCAATCATGGCAGAAGGCAAATGGGGGAGCCAGCACTTCACATGGTCAGAGCAAGAGGAAGAGAGAGAAAGGGCAGAGGTGCCACACACTTTTAAACAATCAGATCTTCTGAAAACACAATTACAAAAACAGCACCAAAGGGGAAATATGCCCCCATTATCTAATCACCTCCCACCAGACCCCACCTCCAGCACTGGGGATTATCATTTGACATGAGATTTGGGCAGCAACACAGATCCAAACCATATTACTCACCTTTCCTCTCCTCCTCCATGGCTATTTATATTTTCTGGCTTAGAGCAAGGCCCAAGAGAACAACCATAAATGCTATCCTCTCTCTTGCCCCCAAGGATATCACAGTCCAACAGAAAAGAGGACAAAGTAATTTATATTTTGATATAATAAATTCTACAGCAGATATAAGCTAGGACATCACTTCTCCAAATTATCAGAGTGAAGAAGGTGGTTGCCACTTCGTATTGGGCTTCTTTACCTTAAGTGCCATCCTTGAAATGTTGAAGAACAAAGGAACCAAGGAGAAGAAATAATTTTAATCTTAAAGGTTTGGTTACTCTTTTCTTTAATAGTGTTCTTCTAATTCATAAATACCTTACTTTTTTTCAGTTTAGAAATTCAATATCCTTCTCTTCCCAGAACTTGCTTCCCTGGGTCAATAATTCTTCCATCCAGACTATGTCAACTTTACTTATTTGCTTTTTATTTGTGCCCAGCTTACACACATGGTAGACTTGTAAATACTGGTGAGCAAACACATTTTAAATTGTAGTAAATACTAATGAGCAAGAATATGCCTTGAAACTCCTTCTACATGATACTTTTCTTGCCTTTGTTTGTTCTTATTTTGAGTGGATTTTTACCATCTCAATTTCAGGTACACAGAAAATATCTGATTCTTTTTCTGTGGACTAAATTCTGATTACTCAACTATTTATTTATTGAGTTGGTTTATTTATTGAGTTGGTGTCATGAGCTGAGCACATTATATTTATTGCTCAATTCAATCTTACGATATACTCCAAGAAGGAGATATTATTATCCCCATTTACAGAAGAAGAACTGAAAGTTCAATTCCACAGCCAGTTAACGTGATGGTACCCAGGTTTTTTTGATGACAATTACCAAACACTTTTTCCTTATACCACTTTGCCTCCTGCAAATATATGGTCTATGAAGGAAAAAAATATGATATTTGCACAAGTATCTATTGTATTACTACACTCTTCTCTTTCAGTATTTTTCCTGACTCTCTCTCTTAATACTCATTTCTGTGTCTCTACAAGGTGTAACACAGAGCCATAAATACAGTAGCTTTTGGGAAAATAGATATTAATAACTGGTGAATTAATGAATAAAAGGAATCAAATAACAGAAGTACAAGCAATAGTCTTTGGGATCACTAAAGTAATCATTTTAGTAGGGAAAGTAATCTGAGAAGGCTTCAAAGAGAAGGTGGCCTTTGGTGAGGAGGGTTTTCATAAGTAGCCAATGTTGGCAAAGAACTTTCCAGGCAGAAAAGCATGTGAGAAAAGCAAAGAAGTAGATAGAGCCTAGTAGGTTGGAGAAAATGAGGTTAAGTGTATGTGAATGTTAAGGCATACTAAGAAAATTGATAGGAGATATAATGTGAGAAAGACTGAGACCAGTTAGTCAGGGGACTTCAGATGTTTAGACCCAACCTCAGCAACAGTGAGAAGCCACAGGCTGTGCTTGAGGGAAATAGATATAACCCAGACTGTGCAGAAGGGGCAGGCATTATCTTAAGATTTTTGAAAACAAGTCTCAGAATTTATTCTGGACACTGAAATATGCCAAAAATTCTAACAGTCAGCTTTTAGTTTCAGCTAAAGAAAATGACATGAGTTGACACAAGTCAAGGCAAAATAAAACATTTTCCAAAAGGTTATCACATTCCTTTCTCCCTAGCTGAAGGAATCCCCGTGAATTTGTGAGCTCATTCTGAAGAGCTCCGGAGGGCCTTGTCAGGAAGGTGTTGTATAAACCACTTTGCCTCAGTGTTATATTCCTGAGGACATGTTTATGAGAAAGAAATCTCACCTGGTGAGTGATGTTTTTCAACAGATTTCAAGGGGCCCAGAAGTCATTATGACAATACAGGACTCACTTCTCACATCCCCTTGCCAGGTAGGTAATGGTAGATGAGTCTCTGAATATCAGACCCTTGGAGCATTACTATGCCCCTCTGCTCTCTGAGCTCCTTTTGCGGGTGGAAGATGAGAGAGCAGCAGAAGGGTCTGTCTGTAGGGTATGATCATTGTCAGATTCTTCCTCAGACCCCTGTCCTTTTCTTGGGCAGTGGGCACCAGCCAAGCCAGACCTTTAAAATCCACCAGCATATGGTCTGTCAGTTTCCTGTCATGGAGGAGAACAAAAGGTACACTAACTCAGAGATCCCTGGGCAGAAACCCATTGTGCTGGTGACAATATGAAGTCAGGAGAGACATCACATCAGATGAGGGCTGCAAAGCACAGGGGACTCTGAGCCAATCTGACATCTTTGGTTTTCTTTCCAAGTCTGCCCATTGGCCACTTCATATCCCATAGAGATCCAGAGTCCTCAGGCTCTTTCCTCCCCCAAGTATTCAAACCTGCTCCCTGACCTCTCACTGACACTGGGGTGTCAACAGCTAAAATGAATGCCCTCTAACCTGCCCACCTACCCCACACACTGGCACTTGCAGGCGTTTCATGACTGAGAGTGATTCACTGAACTATATGAATTTAGGCAATGTCTTAGTCCATTTGTGCTGCTATAACAAAATGTCCAAGACTAGGTAATTTATAAACAACATAAATTTATTTCTCACTGTTCTAGAGGCTGGGAAGTTCAAGATCAAGATTCTGTGTCTGGTGAGAGCCACTCTCTGCTTCCAAGATGGTGTCTTGTTGCTGTGTCTTCACATGGCAAAAGGGAAGAAGGATCTAGCTAGTTCTCAGCAGCTTTTTTATCAGTACTTAATTTCATTGATGAAGATGAAGCTCTCATATCCAGTCACCTCCTAAAGGCCTCACCTCTTAATAACATTGCCTTGGAGATTAGGTTTCAACATTAATTTTGGAGGGGACACTAATATTTACATTATAGTAGGTAAATTGTTTGGATTCTCTATGGCTACATTTTCTCATACTGAGGTGGAAATGTTACCTTCTTCTCCATTTTACTATGTGGAAGTACTGCGTAGCTGGAAATGCTACTGTGCCCATAACCTCACCTATGAGCAAGGCTCATCCATCCCAGAAGCCCTCCCACCTTGTCATCTTCCAGACAGCTCTTGAGTAGTTTCCATGCCTCTTAGCAGAGGTCATTTCATTGGCCTGCCCATGAATTTTCTGTGGTCTTCCATCACTTACTGAATAAAGGCCATGCTTCTTATTTGAATATGCTGAGTCCTACACAAATTGATCCCAATCTACTTTTACTTCTTATCTCTTGGTGATGAACATTAGACAGTATCTGTTGATCACCTGCTATGAGTCAGGCTCTATTCTAAGTATTTTACCTGCATTAATTCATCAATCCTCATAAATATTAGTTAGGTAGGATTAGCATTCCCATTTTACAGATGTAGAAAATGAGTTTAAAAAGTGATTTGTCTAAGAATCTCATAGTTATTAAGTGATAAAGCTGAGGTTCAAACTGAAGCCAAGTCTTTTGTCCAGGTGCCTGCATTTTTCCTAGATATGCTCTGGGTTTGAACCACACTATGCAAAACACCATATGCACATTCTGTTTGTCACCAACACTATGCCTTTATTTTGCTATTACCTTCCCCTGGCATGCCCTCACCTTATTCTACACTCATCTAGATCTCATTCATCCTTTAAGGCTTGACCTGGGCGTGACTTCTTTCAGGAAGCCACTTTTCCTTAACTCACTGAGAATGACTTGCCCCCACACCAACTCTCTGCTTTTTGGCTTTGTGTGCCCTTTTACTTCTCAGGTGTTATTGTTACTTATATGTTTGTCTGGGTACTCTATTAGGCAGCAAGCCTTTTGAGGACAAGGATAAGTCTTATCTGTCCTCATACCTCCTAAAGTATACAGGACAGCACTGTGCACTTGCACTCCCTTATAGCGCAGTGCCAGCCAATTTCCAATCGCTCTCATGTTGATGTAGACTTTAATCTTCACAGCAGGCACAAGGGCTGCCAAGAAGGAGAAATTCCACTACCATTTTACAGATGAGGGATCTAAATCTCAGAGGGAGAGGAGATTACCAGCCGTATAGATAACTGCAGGGACAAGCTGGACAAGATGTTTCTACTGCCAGCCTCTGATCTTTCTCCTCCACCAGTGTTTGGCCCTTTACCTCTTCCATGCATGCAGTGAGTGTTTGTTGACATTTTTCAGAAGCCACATAATGTGGTACAAAGAGTTAGATAATAACAGCTAACATTTGCTGAGCTCTTAGTGTGTGCCAGGTACTGTTGTGAAAGGCAGATCATTTAGTCTAAGCAACAACCCCGTAAGGTGATAACCGTTGTTATCACTAGCTGTTAGGGAAAAACACAGCCAGACAGAAGACAGAAGTTAAGGCAGTGAAGATAGATTTTATTCCAAAGACTATTGCAATAGAGGAAGAGAGACTCCAGTGTAGAACTGGGCTCAATTCCAAATCCAATCAGAACACGTGGGAATTTATAGGCAAAGAGGAATGTGTAGTGGGGCATTGGTAGAAAAAAAATTAGTAGAGGAGACATAAAGTCTGGGGAGATTTGGGCTGAATCAACCTAACGGAATTCTTGCTGAAGGCAGGCCAGGGTGATTTGATATCACCTGGGGATAGTGGGGATAAGGAGCTTGGTCAGCTATCAAATATTGAGTGTGGGGAGATCTCCCTAAACTGACTTAACAGGATTCTTGCTCAAAGTACATGGTACAAGGAAATATTTGCAAAAGCCTTGTTGGAAAGAGGATTCAGGGTAGCCTGACTAAAGTCTGACTAAGCAAGAAACCTTTGTCACAGCCCCATTTTATTCATGAGACTAGAAATCACAGAGAGGTTTAGTAATGTTCCCAGAGTCACAGAGTCATAAGTAATGGAGCCAGGATTTGAATATAGAAAGTCTGACTCCAAGACTCCTGCATATAGACACCAGGTTCTGCTGTCTCAAAAGGCAGTAGGTCTAGATTTTGATGCCTGTGTGCTCTTGGACATGTCTGAGTCTCACAACCAATGCAGGATACCCCTTGCGAGGCCCTACATGTAGTAGGCGCTCATTAAATGTTAGCTCTGAAAGTTGCTGTGAAGCATCTACAAGAGCCCAGACTAGGCAAAAGCCTTCCATGGCAATGAAAAAGTTTGACAAATGGAAATTCATAATTAGCTATTTATTTCCAGCTCCCCTCTACCAAGTTCAGATAAAACATTAAGTGCCTCATTCCAGTCATGAGAAAGAAGTAGGCGAGAGTCAAGGTTTGACATTGGGTTTTAAAAGCTCTTAAATAATTACAGTGTTCAGAGTAAACAGGGCCTTCATGCTTCATTAGGCAATGTGTATTATGGCTCCATTAACACACTGCAGAGCTTTTCCATTTCCCATTTTTTGAAACACGCTGAGAAGGGAGCTGCAGTCATCAGTGTTAATTGATAGCTAACAGAAAGAAACTTCCTAAAAGGGAAATGATTTTTAGGTCCTAATTTGATTAATTATTAAAGCTCCTGGTACCTATCTTGATGGGGTAACAGGAAAACCAGATATTGTTAATATTTACTCATGTGAAGACACAGCCTGTTTATAGCCTCCACATGCCTGAACCTTTTAGTGTTTGTTCATGAGTCTACAAAGGTAAATAGGAAAGCAAGGAAGCTTTAGAGATAATTGAAAATAAAGTGCTGTTCTCACTTTCACTCCCCAGAAAATCCAGGACATGTCTTAGGTGAGACAATTAAAGACAAGGCCTCACTTTTGCCCCTAGACTATTATCTCTCAGCTTGCCCTAATGCTTCAGTAATCCACAATACTCACTACTTTGGTTCATAGTAAAAGAAGCAGTCTTTAAATAATTGGGATGAGTGCTCATCTGAGTAAATACCACTTATTAACACCTTTATAGCCATAGATGCATAGGTAGATGTAGATGTAGATGTAGATTGATAACAGAGGGATAGAGAGAGAGATAGAGACAGACAGACAGACATGTAGATGTAGATTGATAACAAAGGGATATAGAGAGAGAGACAGAGACAGACAGACAGACATGTAGATGTAGACTGATAACAGAGGGATAGAGAGAGAGAGATAGAGACAGACAGACAGACACAGACCGAGACATAGACATAAACCTAGACCTTGGTATAGATTTGAATGTATGGATATTCTAACAAACATATGTAGGCTATTCTGAGTCGTGATTAAGGGTTGGACTCTGGGGCCAGATTCCTTGGTTCAGATACTGGTGTAATTACATATTAGCCGGGTGCCTTTGAACAATATATACCTAAACCTTCCATGCCTCAATTTCCTCATCTGTAAAATGGAGATTATAAAAACAATAACAACATGTGATTGTTGTGAGGTTAAAAGCATGAATAAACGTAAAAATGCTTAAAACAGTTTCTGGCATTAATTAGTGCTTTGTTCATATTTTCTGTTGCTATGATCATTTTTTTATGTGTGTGCCAGGCCCTGCCATCGGGCTTGGGCCCTAATTCAAGAGATTCTTCACCATGTGCTTTAAGGCATTTATTCGAATAACTACTACAATTTAGAAAATAATAAGAGCTTTAGAGAAGAACATCAATCAGAAATGCTGGATGAAGGTTCAGAGAGAATGAGGAAACTTTGCAGGAGAGGGAAAAAGAGATGCTTTATAGAAGACATTAAGAGGACAGTCTGATCCTACAGGAAATAATGTGAACAAGTGCCTCGAGGAAGGAAGCACTGAAGGGTTTCTACCAAAAGCAGTAATACAGAGTACTACTTTATTATCCCGTAGAACTAAGCAGGGAGAGGAGCCAGTCAACTCTGGGGAGTAGGTGACGTAGTTTGAATGAGCCTACTTAAGTTTACAATGATAAATGGTGCCAGGAAGCACTCCACAAGACCACAAGGGATAAGAAAGCCATGGGCCACCAGGAGACCATCATACGATCATCAGCAGAAAGACAAAGCAGCCTGACAGCTAAAGGAAATGAGATCTTCTCCCAGCTCTTCCTTTCTCTAGTCTACGTGAAACCTTGGGCAATTCCCTATCCTTTTCTGGATTGCATTTTCCTGAACTGTAAAATGAGAGATTGGGGTTAATCTCCAATAACCCTCCCAGCTTCGGCATTCTAGGACTCTATAAAATTTTGCCAAGAGCTGGGATACCTCCTTCTCTGCCCCCCCATCACTCACTCCCACACCTTCCTTCCTTCTCCAATTCCTTATTTATATATAAGCAGATAGGATTCCAAGAAAAATTAACAAAAAATAACCCCAAAGCGAAAACATTAGTAAAGGGTTACAGGTTTAAAAAGCAGAGGTAGAGAAGGAAATCAGACTGGGCACTTCTGCAGACAGAATGGGAACAACGTTATGACAAGGCCACCCTTTCAGAGCCTTCGTGACTTGGTAGTGAAGCTATTAAGTAGCTCAAACCACTCTTTTTAAATAAAGTGGCTCATTTGGACAAACACTTCAAGCTAAGAGGCAATGTTACTGCAGCTAGAATTGGAGTGCTCTGCAAAGAATTAAGACAATTTCTCACTGTCCTTTATCCTCCGCACTTTATGCGAAGTTAAGTTATTTGAATTAGTGTTCATCCAATATCATGTTGAGTCTTTCTATTCCCCAAGTTTCTCAAGATTCTACAATGTCACTTCTATTGACATGATTAACTTCTTATTAACTTTAATGGAAGCTGTGGGCGTGAAGTCCATTTTGTTCTCAGGGACTTTTGCTTTTTGTTGGTAAATTCTGGAGCTTTATTTGACTCACCGTTATAAATATACATTAGGTAATGACTACTAAGGACACTGGTTCTTGAACAGGATGGAACTTCTGCCTCCGACTCAATAAACTAATAGATGTTCAGGATGTGAAGAATCACAAAGGTCCCTGAGTCCTGCCATCAGTTAAATCTTGAATCTCCTTTTCAACATCCTAACAAGTTCAGCCTCTGCTTGCACAGATCCAAAGGCTGGGAACTGACTTCTTTCAAGTGTTCATTGTGTGGCAAATATCCACACCCTTTTGCTTCCTCTCCTTTGAGTATTGTCCTATTTGCATTCATGAATTCTGCTTAGCCATGAACAGTGGTTTTCCCAAGGGCCCATCTTGAGATCATCATTGACCTGCGTGGACCATGCCTAGTCTCAGAGACCAGTTCCTTAGACAGTGCACCAGTAACTTAGGGAGGGACAGTATACAACCACAGACTGGCCCTTAATTGGCTCAGCAAAGTATGATAATACTAGCTGTGGTAAGCACAATAATCACCCTCTCACCAATAAAAGATATTTATATCCTAATCCATAGGTACTCCAGGTCTGGAGTACAGATTCTCTCTCCCTTAGAAAGTACTAAATAATTATAAGGCAATTTTTTTTTCTAGTTTTCCTTTGTTAATTGCTTTAGCCAGTCACAAAAATATGTTTTACCTTGTATTAATCAGGGTTACCACTCAACATATTTTCTTGATAGACAGGACTAATTAGAAGTTTCCAGACACGTATAATTATATTTGAAATAGATATCTTTGAGATATCTCAGAGGGATTTAGAGAAAGCTATTGATTGACTGGCAACATTCACAAGTCATCTTCAAGTGGGTTATTTTCTAAAAACATTTCATATATGATGAATGTCATGCATTTCTGTTAAATTCCATGCCAGAGAATATTTCCTGACATTTTCCCCAAATCCTTGAGCTACACCCTAGTTGCCTCCTGTGGACACCTTATTTTAGTACAGTTTTTAGATGTAAAAGACATCAGGGAGGAATCTCAGGGTCACCCTTGATTCATAACTCTCCTTAAGGTCTTATGTCTAATTGCCATCTAATCCTGTCATTTCTTTCCCTCCAGAATGCCTATTGATTTATTCCCTCACTAGGCCAGCCTTCCAACTCTTACATGATTGAGATCCAATAATCATACTAGCTCTCCCTGCTGCCAAGCCACCTTAAATCCAACCAATGAATGCTAGGCTGGGCTTTGGAAGTGACCTGTCTATGTGCTCTGACATTTGCCTTGTCCCAGACTAAGGCACTGACTTCTTTTTTTTTCTTTCTTTCTTTCTTTTTTTTTTTTTTTCAATATTTTAAGTTCTGGGATACATGTGCAGAACGTGCAGGTTTGTTACACAGGTATACACATGCCATGGTGGTTTGCTGCACCCATCAACCCATCATCTACATTAGATATTTCTCCTAATGCTCTCCCTCACCTAGCCCCCAACCCCCTGACAGGCCCTGGTGTGTGATGTTCCCCTTCCTGTGTCCATGTGTTCTCATTGTTCAATTCCCACTTATGAGTGAGAACATGTGGTGTTTGGTTTTCTGTTCTTGTGTTAGTTTGCTGAGAATGATGGTTTCCAGCTTCATCCATGTCCCTGCAAAGGATATTAACTCATCATTTTTTACGGCTGCATAGTATTCCATGGTGTATATGAAGGCACTGACTTCTCTATTCATGATCCTTCAAGAGTTGATACTTATTTATCCCATCAGTCCAACTTATCCAACTGGCATACAATCAGTCCCCCACCCAGCAAACTGTATTTTCCCAATTTTTTTTTTTTTTTGCTTTTTTACAGACTATATCCAACAAGACACTTTCAGTTTGCCTATGTTGGATCTCACTCCAAGATACACCCAAATCTAATAGGAAGAAATGTCAAGGGGGTATGACTCTTACCTAATGAGGAGTAGATATAGACAAGTAATTCCTTGAGGCCAAACATAGCCGATTTGAGTCCAGGCTCTGCACAATCTCCCACTAAGACTCACCTGTAAAGTACAGATAATACTAATACATATTCTACTCTCTGTTTCTATGAGTTAAATGTTTTCACACTTCACATATAAATGGAATCATGCCAATTTTAAAAATTAATATCTATTTCATAAGGTTGTTGTAAGGATTAAATGAGAGAAAATGGGTTGTTCTTGTTAAATGTTCAATATTCTTTTAACTACATCATGCAGATTCTCAAATAAAGAAAAAACCCTTAGGATTCTGAAGCTTATCAAAGCAGCTGAGCCCAAAGTACCTTATAGATTTGGGAAATACTGATTCCTTACTGATTCCCCCAGTCGTTAATATAATATCCCACTCTGCCACTAATTTGATGCTAGAATAAATAGCACAGCACCTAAGGAAAAGTGGTGATCCTGTGAACTGAATGAGAACAAAGTAGGGAAGCTACTGAGTTTTACACTAACAAATTCACAGACTACTAAAGGGTCATTCTGATAGCAAAGTAAAAATCACTTTGGTGATAGTCTCACAATATGTCATCACATCGTGTATAAGAAAGATTATCTTATACTAAAAATATGAATAGTTGGCTCTGTCACTAACTTTTGACCTCAGTTTCAAGATCTGTACATGAAGGATAGGAGACAAAGCCCTCTCATTCAGTAGGTTTTTCTATTTCAGCCTCTATTTCTATTTCTGATGCTTCAAGGAGCGTAAGAGAGAGAAAGAAAAAGAAGGAATGAAAGAGGGAGAGGAAGAGAAAAGGAGACATTGGTTAGCTTAGAGTTGAAAACTTGGTATAAAATTGAATTGAAGGCTCAAGTTTTTTTTACCTGGGAAAGTAAACTACATTCCTGATGTGTAAAACAATCTTCCTGATCATCTTAGAGCTGCTCTAAGTAAGACGTTCAACCATAATTTCTGTCCTGCATGACCATCAACCTCGAAGTACACAGAAACCATACACTCTGAGGTGGCCCCATGAGAGAAGGACTAGCTCCACAAGCCCCAAGCTCTCAGATCTGTCTAAGACATCAAGCACCAGGCAGGCTCCCTGACTCCAACCTAGGCCAGTCTGCAAAGCTGAATCTGCAACCTCCCAGGATCCCTAGCAGCAGGAGGAGAAGCCTTGTCCTCCTCTGGCTCAGAAACACTTAAAGGAAGCCCCATGACTAAGGTCTCTACTGGCAACAGCCTGAAGCTGCCAAAGATTTTTAGCCTAGTTCTGCTAGAACCATTTCCCACTTCAACCATATGGAATGTTCATGCTGAAGGCTTTCTTTCTTTCCAGACCTTGTTCTTCACTTCAATATCTACCTTCTTTTCTTGATGGCAGGATATGTCTGATGACATAGAAGCTGTGGAATCCATTCTTCAGGGTCTAAACTCAAGCCTGGTCCTTAGTTCTCCGTACTGTATTCTTCCTGACCTCCAGACCTGAGCGTCCTCCCCTTCAAAAGACAAAGCCATCCAAAGAGTCTGAGCACTCCAAGTGAGCAGCTTGAAGAGTGAGAGACATGGACAGAGGGAAGGGCAGGTCTGTGCAGCCTGTGGCCATAAACCCCACCTCTGGCCTTCTCCAGTGAAGCCACACTCAAGATTTAAGAGAACTTGTGATCAACTTGGGGTATTTGCACCCCACGAAAAGGGAGTTTGCAGGATCCCTAATATCACTGCGAGTTGCCACTTTTCCAGTCTTTTTTTGCTGTTCGCTCATATCCACAGGGAAAAAAACGAAATGAGCAGCCCAGTCCCTCAGGCCTTTTTCTTTAATGTTGCCATCAAAAATCAATAAAATGCATCAAGCTGTTTCAACTAAGTTGATCTCAAATCAAACTGGTATGGTTGTCAGGGAATATGTTGAACTATATTTAAGTGAAGAAAGATTTTGGGCTTGGTATAGACTAAGATAGAAAGAAAAAACAAGAGAATAGAACCTGTATACTGGCCGGGCGTGGTGTCTCACGCCTGTAATCCAGCACTTTGGAGGCCAAGGTGGGTGGTCACCTGAGGTCAGGAGTTCGAGACCAGCCTGGCCAACATGGTGAAACCTGTCTCTACTAAACATACAAAAATTAGCTGGGTGTGGTGGAAGGCGGAGGTTGCAGTGAGCCAAGATTATGCCACTGCACTCCAGCCTGGGTGACAGAGCAAGACTGTGTTTAAAAAAAAAAAAAAAAAAAAAAAAAATCCTGCATACCAAACTCCCAGGACTGAAAACATTTTGTTTGTTTGTATGTCCATTCCTTTGCCTAAAATAAAAACATCACATGAGGCAGGTATTCCCTCTGTTAGCTCCCTGTGCCTGCTGTAACAAATTACCAACACAGATACAGTGTTTTAAACCAATGCACATGTTGGTTTACATCTGAAAGTCAGATGTCTGAAAGTCAGAAGTCTGAAGTCTGATATCTGAAAGTCAGAAGTCTGAAGTCAGTTTCACTTGGTCAAAATGAAAGTCTCAGAAAGGCAGTGTTTCCTCCAGAGGCTCGAGAGGAGGATCTGTTTCCTTGCCTTTTCCAGCTCCTAGAGCTGCTTCTTCCACCATCTTCAAAGCCAGGGGCTCAGCATCTCGCCTCAGTGTCACTTAGTCTTTTTCATCTGTCCCCTGCCTCTCTCATATAAAGACACTTCTGATTACATTTAGGGCCCACCTTGGTCATCCAGGATAATCTTCCCACCTCAAGATTCTCAGTTTGTTTACACCTGCAAAGTCCCTATTGCCATATGTATTAGTCCGTTTTCACTCTCCTATAAAAAACTACCTGAGACTGTGTAATTTAAAAATAAAAGAGGTTTAATTGACTCACAGTTCCACATGGCTGGGGAGGCCTCAGGAAACTTACAATCCATGGCAGAAGGCAAAGGGGAAGCAAAGATCTTCTTCACAAGGTGGCAGGAGAGAGGGAGAGCAAGCGAGGGGGGGACTGCCAAACACTTTTAAACCATCAGATCTTGTGAGAACTCACTATCATGAAAACAGCATGGGGGAAACTGCCCTCATGATCCAATCACCTCCCACCAGGTCCCTCCCCTGACACTTGGGGATTACAATTTGAGATGAGATTTGGGTGGGGAAACAGAGCAAAACCATATAACCATATAGGGAAACATGCATAGGTTCCGAGAATCTGGATCTGGATCTCTTTTTTGGGGGCATTATTCAGCCTACCACAAGTGCCTTTCACCTTGTCAGATGTGGAATATGGTGTAAGATCCCAGGATTTAGGAAAGGACGATGGATGAGACATTTTCCAAAGTAAAATTGAGTTGAGGGTGTGGTAGTGGGATTTGAAATAAGGAAGAAGCAGACCCTCTTTCCCATAGCATCTCCAAAGGTTATTCCAGCAGGAGATGAGCCTCTTATGGAGATCCAGCGAGACCCATTGACACACACATTTCTCAGACTACAGCAGTGAGCAGGTGGTAGTATATTTCAGGTCTGTGCTGTGGAGCCCCCACTCTTCCCTTCTTGGAAGGCCCAGACCTGCCTTTTAAGTTATCTCCTAAACCTATTGATGATTTCTGAACTTCCTGCTTTTGAGCCTATTCTGGAAAAAGTGGATAGAAGTGATGCTGGTGCTGTCACATGCCAGCTCTTCCGCTCCTATGCTGTTTTGAGCCATCGCATTGCCCCAAGGAACACTCAAGGGAAGATGCAGTTACAATAGGGAAATTCCCATGACTCCATCGATCCAGGTGGGCATTGCCTTGATGCCAGAGTCAGGGAGATGACCTTCTGCTTCCTGTTGGAAGGTCCTGGGCTTCCCAGGATAGCATAAGACCCTGTCTTGACTAGAAGAGCCTGAGTTTTGGATGCTGTTGCCTTCAGCATACTGAGAGCCTGCTTGTTTAAGCTAGTGCAACTTCCAGTAGAGACACAAGACATCCAAGTCCACTCTGACAGTCCGACAAACCAGAAACAAAAGAAAACAAAAGAAGGAAAACCTCTAAGTCTTATCTCCCCATCTCTTATTCAAATATCCCACCCCATGGGATCCGTACATTTGAGATCTATACCTCCTCACTCATCCTGCCCAATACCCATTTTCCTTCCGAGGTTCAGGGATTCTTAAACTACCAGAGTCTATGAGTTGATGATGCCTTTCCCTCTTTACATAGAGAAAGACTCCCTGGCCACAAAGGAACTGTGGTCCCCTCCCAGCTCCTAAAGGTATTCTTTCAACCCCCTTATTCCTCACAGTTGAATTCCCTCACTCCTTAATATCCAATATTCTGGGTCCTGGGTTGCATTTAAATCAAGTTTTCTGACTCACTTATTGGGTCCAACATTTTAATTGCCTTTCTTTTATATTTTTTGATGTCTTCTTTTTATTTAATAACTTCCAAGGGCTCCTGTGGTATCCACATTATGTAAGTGTGGGGCTGGGATAAATGATGCCAGCAGCTTTACAGCCCAGAAGGAAAATGCTTGAAGTGATTTTAATTTCATTCTCCTTTCATTCTAACACCCAAAGACTAGAGAAAAAATGATGTGAAAGTTTTCTCTTTTTCTCTTTCTGCAACGAGGGGGGAATTTGAAAAAGGAAAAGCTTTTTCTAATATCAGCTTATTATTTTTTTAAAAGCACTCAGAATATGGAGTTCGCGTAGCTATTTCTTTGTTGTTCTTAATTTGAACAATCCTATGTGATTGCTTTAAATGCATCTCCTGGGTTTCAGCTATTTTTAATTAGCTGTGGCTTCTTCTTCTCTTCTTTTTCTTCTTTTTTTTTTCTTTTTTTACTGTTATCACTCTAGTTGATTTGTTTGATCTTCATGCTCCATTAGTTCTTGCATCCTCACCTAGCTCTTCTGTCTCCCCATCATATTCACCCATGGTTTTATAGAAGCTGGTAAAATTCTGAATTATCTGTGTCTATAAAGACAAAGGTCTCCAATTCTTACTCAGTGCCTCTCATTGCCTCCTCACCCTCATACTTACAAACAGAATTGAGAGTTTATGAGGATTTGTTCTGTCTGTAATAAGGAGAAAATCTATAAACTGTATCATAAAAAGAATCATAATATTAGAGGTAGGAGAGAATAAATTTTAACTTCTCAATTTTACAAAGGAGGAAACTGAGGCCCAGCCCAACAAAAACCACAGGGCTAATAGGAAGCTGACCTGGACTGCAGGCTGGCACCACACGTGAGAGGCCAGCACTATGCTCACTGCACGGCCCCCTGCTCTGGGATGACAGCTGAAGTACATGCAGGGCAGGAACAGACAACACGTAGGACCCTGCACTACAGCTCAGGCTCCCATCTCCCCTCTCCAGGACATTTTGGTGGCTTGCTCCAGTCTCTCTGCAGGCAAGTATTGTGGTGTTCCATAGAAAATAAGAGCACAGAACTGAAAGTTGAGACATCTCCATTCTAGTCTTGCCTTTGACACTAATCAACTCTGTCATTTTAAGTCTCCAAGTTTCAGTTTACTGTCCATGAAACAGATATAACAGTGCAAAGTGCTGATAAACGACTTCCCAGTCTTTTGAAATTCTCCATTTTTGGCTTCCAGGATACCCTTCTTTTCTGGTTTACTCAGCTCTGTGGTTATTCTTTTTGGTCTCCTTTGTGAGACGGTTTTCTTCCTTTTACCTCTTACTGTGGACTCATTTCAGGACTCTCTCCTTTTTCTGCTTCTCTTCTGACTTTACATGCTTTTTCTGGACAATATCACCCCTGGGCTTACACTGCCAAGCATCAGCTGATGATTCCCAGATCTCATCTGTAGCCCCCAACCTCACTCCTGAGGGAATATCCATCTTCTCACTCACCAGTTCCTCTTGGGTGGTCCCCAGCACTTTAACTCCCCATGCCCACTGCAGACCCACTATGCTCCCCCTAAACCTTGTCCTCTTCTGGTCCTTGCCTTGGGGATGGCACCACCTTCTGCTCTGCTGCTTATATCAGAAAAGTGACAATCATGTTATTTCTCTCCTCAATCCTCAGACACATTGAATAGTTCATAATATTCTGTTATTTATTTCTCCTAAATTTCTTCCTATTTTATCTCATTTTATCCATTCTCATTATCTAGTTAAGGCTCTAGCCTCTTACATGGACTACTTCAGCAACCTCTAACCTGTCTTCTCTTCTTTCAGGTTGTCCTTTTCCAGTTCATTTCCACACCACTATTATACTTAACCACCCAAATCACAATTCTGATTGTTTTATGCCCAGACTTTTTAAAGTCCCTGATTATCTTAAAAAAAAAAAAATTGAGAATCTTGCACAATGTGCTCTATGCCAGTCCTGCAATCTCATCTGTCTCTATTGACATACCTGCCCCCACCCCCCGCCCTCAACTCCACTGCACTTTAGCACTACAAAAATTCCCAATTCTTATTTGAGGTCTCCCAACAGCTTGCAGTCAATTAGCAGACATCTTTTAGAGTGTCTCTGCAGCCTTCAAGGCCCCATCTTTAAAGTTTTCATCCATAGCAGAGAGCCTGGGAAACTATGTTTGTACCCTACGATCTTCCCACTCTGATCATTATGGTACGACTGGAACAGATTCTCGAGCCAGGTTGGGCCAGGTAGTTATTCTCTATCAAGAATTTGGAATTTAGACTCAGAGCTATAAATTAGATATCTATGGTTCATTGGATTCCTTTTCAGTTCTTGGTTCAACCCCCTCATTTGGCTTGGCAGCTCTGGGCCCTCAGGATCTGTGGGATGTCATGATTTTCTATCCAGCATTCCCTTTTTGTTTAAATAAGTATGAAATGAGTCTCTTTACCTGCCACCAAATGATTCTAAGCCACTCATCAACACATCTCATACTTAGTCGTTTTCCCTCTCATTTTCCTCTGACTGAATCATCCTGCAACTATTTTCATCTTATAAATTTCCATGTATCCTCAGGAACCAGTGCAAGCATTGCCTCCTCTGCAAAGCTCTCCAATACTCCCTCTCCCACGGACAGTTTCATTTACTCCGCCTTATGAGCTGCCACTATACTTGCTATCACACTTAGTCGGAACTTTGTTTTATAGGACAGTTTTTTCCTGTAAGAACATGAGCTCCTTGAGAGAGGCCATAGGCATATTTGTATCATCAATGCTAGGAGAGATCCTCACACATAGCAAATACTTAGGACATTTATCTTGAGAACTTGAGTGAGTGAATTGATACTTGTGAAAAATATATAAAACAAACATTATCTAAGCGTCTTGTATAAAATAAAGGTCTTACACATCCAATAGATCATCCCCACGGTTCTAAAATTCTGATTAATGCTTTTTCCTGAATTTTAAACTTATCATAGGTATGACCAAGTGAGTAGCTTTCTGTAAAAATTAAGACAAACACAAGGATACTGACACAGCTCTCATTTAGGGAAATAAAGGGCTCCATGCTAATGGATCAGGCTCCAGTTGGCTCTTTTATTTGAAGCCACTTTTAGGTTGAGTTGTTGAGAAATATCTTGACAGCCTACTTCAACGTTGTGTTTTTCTTCTAGTGTTACAGAGTATAACAATAATGTCCTTTCCTTGACCTCTGCTAATGCTTTTTAGTCTCTCAAAGAAATTGGAAAATGCTCACAAGCAGTCTCAAAAGAGAACTCATACATCCTCCACTTGTTCCAGGGAAAGACTTGTTTCCCTGCATCAACCACCCCCAAAACGGATAAACAAACAGCTGCCTAAATTGTCCTTCAAGGTCCAACAGAGAATCTAGATGACAGTGACACACCTTGGAACTGACTCTCGTCATTCTGGAAACACAGCCTGTGTTTTCCTACCTGTTTTGCTACCTGTTTGACTTGGAAAAATGTTCACATGGCTCTGCCCTCTTCCCTCTATCGAAAGCCCAGTTCCTCTGATTTCCCTGAATGGGAATAAGTCTTTTCTTTTGGCTGTGTCCCCATAGCAATTGTTTTGCACTTCACATGTAGGACTTCCTACACTCAGCCATGAACACATCAGTCTCCACTCCAGATGGGACTTGTCAAGGTCAAGGGCTATGTCTCTGAATATCCACAGCACCAAGTCAGTGCATTGGCACTCAATATTCCTTGTAATTAAATTAAATATATACAAAGAAGATTTTGTTTACTAATCCTTGAGGACCATGGGACGCTGCATTTAGAACTAAACCTAGCTAGCATTAGGAACCCACTTACCCAAATTTACTAACAGAAATTGACAACATGACCTTCACAGTCTTACCTCCCCATAAGCCAAATTGTAAATTCTGCAATTAATATATGACAGACTCATACCTGCAAGTGTCTTACAAAGATAATGCAATGAGTACTGGTAAGAGAACCAGGAGAATGAGAGTTTAATCCTGAATGTAACAATGGATATGAAACTTTTCTTCCATAAGCCTCATTTTTCTCATTTATAAAAAATAAGTTCCCAGTGTTTGACAAAACGTCTTCCTATGGTTTGGTGATAGCAACAGACCTAAAAATCCAGCATATTTTAGCTCTTATTTCAACCAAGAGCTGATCAAAGCAGCCTGTGGACCATGAGACAGAGTCCATCAAAAAATAAAAATAAGTTGATGTACTTAACACTATAGTTGAAATACTTCTTTTCTAGATCTTTAGAATGATTTATAACTCTCAGAAACAAACACAAACAAAATATAGACAACACTCAATTGTGTGCAGAGATGGACGAAAGGATGGGAATACACATCACACGAAAAAAGAAAAGTAAATAACTAGGCATGGCTAGGAGGAAAAAGAGAGAACATGGGTACTGTGAGGGGCCAGGGCATGAGAGCTCTTAGCAGTGAGTACCCTACCACCAGAGGCATTTCAGCAGTGTGTAGATGACTCCTGGATAGGGGTATGTCAGAGCAGGTTTAAATATTGAATGATGAGTTAGCTCACAGTCTCAAGAATGGTTTCAAGTTCTAAATGATGGGTGAGGGCATAGCCAGGAGATGCTGATTCTCTCTTGGGTCCCAACCACACATGTCTCTGGGAAAATTCTCAGGACAGGATTTGAAGGACATTAGTGCATTCCTGGGAGATGGTAGAAGCTGTTACAGTAAAGAAATTTGCCAGATATAAACAGCTTTCCTAAAAAGGCAAACTATATAGCAGATTATAAAGCTTTGGGCTATAATGACCTGGGGTCTACACCCCAATGAATCATTGATTTTCTTTGTGGCTGGGTTCAGTGAGGCAGATCCAGCCTTCACCCTGAGGTTAGCCTCTCAAGTCAGCTCCTTCCAGATGATTTTACTTTTATAAACAAGTGTCTGATTTGTTCAGCTCTCTATCTCCCTAGAAGTACCTGTTGGGAACTTATGCTAACTGAAATCAATGGAGTTTAGAAACATCTGCTGAGATTCAGAGAGTTCTCGTTATAGACAATTTCCAAAGAAGAAATTTCAGAGAGGTCAAATCTCAATGTGATGAATAAGTACAAAGGGACAGTAAGTAGATGGACTTAATTATATAATCTTCAAATAAAGCAAATTATAACATAAAAATTGCCTGGAAGCATAAAATGCTTATGGCTAAATGAAAGGCACTGTAAGACCAGCAGAGTTATTTAGATTTTAACTTTTTTCTCTAGTAGAAAGAGATCATCCAGCTTCATAGTGTTAAAAAAGAACTAAAGACATCAACAAGCTTTGTTTTCCTTCTTTACAAATTTGAAACAACTCAGATGTTTCTCACTAGAGGAATAGATAAAGATATTGTGGTATATTTTGCAATGAAATACTATCAACAATAAAAATGACTGAAAAATTTAAATGGATAGACCTCAAAAATATAACATAAGGTAACATTCATAAAGATTGTTAAAGCACAAAGCAATGCAACATATTAGTTGTGATTTTATACACATATAGTAAAAGTTTAAAACTTTAGGTGGGAAGAATACACATTGAATTCCTGATAGTGCCTGTCCCTGCAGAAGAGAAAAAAAACCCTTCAACTTTGTATTTATTTGTTATAAGTTCTGAAAAATATAAATATTTACAAATGGCATATTATATTATAAACATAAATATTTACAAATGGCATATTAGTCACTATGGTGACTTTCCAAATATACCCAAACCTGATATTTTTTTCTCACTGTCTTAGAAAGTGGTTCTCAAAATTAGTGTGCACCAGCATCTCCCGGAGGGCTTGTTAAAACACAGATCTCTGGAGCAATCACCAACATTTTTTAGTTATTAGGTCTGGGATTGGGCCCAAGAATCTGCATTTCTCACACATTTCAAGGTGATTCTAACACTGTTGAAGAACTAATGTCTTGTATCATAGTTACTAGTAAACATGCATTTAGACTTCGAACTAAGGACAAATATTTTAACTCATTAATATTTGTAGCTTCCACCTCGCCTAGCAAATAGACCCTCAATAAGTATCCGTAAATCGAAGGAGTTCATCTTAAAAAATAAAAATAAAAATCTATACACACACTCATATACACATTCCACCATAAGTGAGCCACTTAATAACAATGCAAAATAAACAATATATGGATGAATATGAATTGGCAATTTTATAAAAGCAAACAAAATATTACCTTAAGAGGCATAGCATACACTCAAGAAAAACCTCAGTCTATGGTCAAGAGTGTCTCATACCTAGCAGGATCTAACTATCAAGTCAGAGCCCCTAAATCATTTTTATCATTGCACCCAGAGATTATGAATCTAATTTTCTTTTTTTAATTTGAGATGGGGTCTCGCTCTGTCACACAGGCTGGAGTGCAATGGCACAATGTCAGCTCACTGCAAACTCCACGTCCCAGGCTCAAGTGATCCTCCCACATCAACCTCCCTAGTAGCTTGAACCACAGACATGCACCATCATGCCCAGCTAATTTTTTTGTATTTTTGGTAGAAACAGGGTTTCACCACGTTGTGCAGGCTGGTCTTGAACTTCTGAGCTCAAGCTATCTGCCTGTCTTAGCCTCCCAAAGTGCTGAGATTACAGGAATAAACTAATGCTCCCGGCCTGATGAATCTATTAGAGGCAAACCTTATTGACAAAATTTATATACATAGTACCAGATGTATTCAGCCAATGATGAAAAATTTAAGTACCTCACAAGGGTATATGCTTCTCTAAGAAGCGCCTTCTCTTCCTGAGCATCAACCTCTGTAGGAATCCAAGGTTAACTGGTAAGTGTAGACTCAGAGCAACAAAAGTGAGTGGTGAATCACAGCAGCCAGTAGCATTGAGCTGCAATACATTGCTGTATCCATTTCCCTGTGTGGGGCCAAGCAGCCGAAAATGATTGAAGGAAAGCAGGCCCTGTATCCAAGGCAGAGCTAAAGATACTCTGCAAACCTCTTACTTCTAGATTTCTTTTTCATTTCATGCAGAGAAGCTATGTAGCACAAATGTTCTTTTCCTCAAAATATGGTGATCATTATGAAAACTAAATATTTCCCTTTCAGTCATGATTGGTGGATATACCCTGCCTTCCCTATGTGGGAGCTGGTAGTTAACCTGGTTTTTAAGGTGGCTTCATTTATGCATTCATTTATTGAGTAGTCTATGCAAAGCAATGCACCAGTTACTGGTCTATGAGGATGAACAAGATATCATCTCTGCCATCACAGAGATTGCAGTCTAGAAGGCCAATGATATCTAGATAGGTACTTACCACACAGTAAGGAAAATACTACGGAGGTGATAAATATACCCAGGGTGTAGTGAGAGCATACCAGAGGGGCATGTTCATGAATATCTGCAGAAAACAGATATCCATTGTATCTTCATAGCACTATCAGAGGACAAACTGTTTTGAAAAAAGCAAATTCTAGAAAATGAGGATTTCTGGTTTTTGCTCCAACCTATAAACATCTTGGAAGTTGTAATTCCCATTCTTACAATAAGAACAGTTATAAGGACAACTTCAAGCTGTACAAGTTTAAAAATCAACAGCTTTTCTTAGACTCATCAGAGAACAGAGGTAACAGGGCAAATTGTCACCTGAAATCTTGAGAGACAGTTGAATACAGAGAAATACAGCAACCTAGATCAGCTTACCTGAAGCAGAAGGAACACTTCCATGGCAATCTTGATAAATTTCTGGAGGCAAGGTGGGCTAATGTGACAGTAAGAAACTCCTGGAAGCCCCCAAACATTTGTGGGCTTTCCTTCCAGGAATCTCACCAGGTTTTCAAGTCAGGGCTCTGAGAAAGGTCCGTTTGTTATGTCCAAGATGGCAGGAGAAAAGTAACCATTTTGAAATATGCCCCAAGCCTTCTTGATAACAAAGGCCTACTCTCCAGGAAAAGAGATTTTGTCAGAAAATGGGCAAATGACAGAAGTGGCTCTCATAGTTTTCTTGCTTAGTTGATTGGAACCTAAACCCTAGAGTGGCCTACACTAAATAAAGTTAAAGTAACGTTTTATTGGTTTATGATAGAGGAAATTATCCTGGATTGAGGAGCTTGGAATACTGGAGTGGCTTTTTCATGTAACACTTGCTCATTCACCTCCTACCTATGTCCTGTGAGAAGGACCAGCAACACTCCTTCTACCAAGGCTGTGAATGGGAAGCCTCCCAAAAAGCTCTGCGAAGCCTCATGAAGTCTCTTCTCTGTAGGCCAGAAATAACAGTAAAAGTTGCTGCCATTAAAATGAACTCCCTGAATTCCTGGGAGTCCATTTTTTTTGAGATCCTGAGGTATCCAGAGGCCAATGATGGTGCTTAAGGCCAGAGATGAGGTGAGTGTCCTTACCACAACAAGTAGTAGAGGTAAAGTAGAAGTCAAAATGGTTTGACCTACAGAGATATTCAGTATTCTTTAATTGATCTTGGTTTCTCTGAAACTGAAGTCAATGGGCATGTATATATATGCCCATTTTATATATATATGCCCATTTTATATATATATATTATATATATAATATATATTATACATATTATATATATTTATATATATATTTTATATTATATATATTTATATATTATATATAATATATATTTTTATATATATATTTATATTTATATAAGTATATATTTATATAAATATATATTATATATTTATATATATAATATATAATAATATAAATATATATAATATATAATAATATAAATATATAATATATATGAATATAAATATATATATTTATATTTATATATAATATATTAATTTATGTATATTATATATTTATATATATATAAATATATTATATATATAAATATAAATATATTATATATATAAATATAAATATATTATATATATAAATATATAATATATATAACATATTTATATATATATATATATATATATATATACACACACCTCTAGATCTAGTGGACATCAAGATGACTTGAATTGCACAATAAAAAGCTATAACACTTCAACTAGTTCAATATTTGAGCCAGTTCATACACCGGAGCTCCTTGAATGGAGGGAAGGCTGATCTACTTGGGGAAGAACCCTGCTAAACAGCCAAAAATGTATACTTTGGATGCATTTATCAGGGTAACTGTACATTAAGAAAGAAGAAATTTCCAGAGTTTGGGGGTGATTACTGGACATTAGCTCCAAGCTCATGCTAATTCTTACAAAATCAAAACTCTACTGTTGTCCACAAGTCAGTGTAGGAGCTTATGGATATCAAGTGATCAATAAACTTTCAGTTCAGATTCATCTCCCAGTAGGCACAATGTGTCCCTGTACCCACTTTGTAGATCTTCCCAAGGTCTAAAATGCAGAGTTGTGATAGAAAATCTCCCTAACTGACA